>NC_000006.12:103252608-103404123 GCF_000001405.40 Homo sapiens
AAAGTCAGGAAACAACAGGTGCTGGAGAGGATGTGGAGAAATAGGAACACTTTTACACTGTTGGTGGGACTGTAAACTAGTTCAACCATTGTGGAAGACAGTGTGGCGATTCCTCAGGGATCTAGAACTAGAAATACCATTTGACCCAGCCATCCCATTACTGGGTATATACCCAAAGGATTATAAATCATGCTGCTATAAAGGCACATGCACACATATGTTTATTGTGGCACTATTCACAATAGCAAAGACTTAGAACCAACACAAATGTCCATCAATGATAGACTGAATTAAGCAAATGTGGCACATATACACCATGGAATACTATGCAGCCATAAAAAATGATGAGTTCATGTCCTTTGTAGGGACATGGATGAAGCTGGAAACCATCACTCTCAGCAAACTATCACAAGAACAAAAAAACCAAACACCACATGTTCTCACTCATAGGTGGGAATTGAACAAATAGAACACCTGGACACAGGAAAGGGAACATCACACACCGGGGCCTGTCGTGGGGTGGGAGAGGGGGGAGGGAAAGCATTAGGAGGTATACCTCATGTAAATGAGGAGTTAATAGGTGCATCACACCAACATGGCACTTGTATACATATGTAACAAACCTGCACGTTATGCACATGTACCCTAGAACTTATAGTAAAAAAAATTGAAAAGACCCACAAACTAGAATATAGTATTTGCAACCATAAGTTGTATTTAAAAAATCCAGCTTATATAAGGAACTCCAGACTCAATAATAAGAAATCAAACAACCAACATAAAAAGGAAAATATTTGATAGATACTTCAACAAAGAAGATATGACGATGACAGATAAGCACACAAAGATATGCTCAACATCACTAATATAGTTAGGGAAAGGCAAGTTAAAAGTACTTTACTAGAATGATTTATGTGGGAATGTGGAGGAATAGAGGCTCTCATACACTACTGGTTGCAAAGTAAAGTGGTGCAACTACTTTGGAAAACAGATTGGCATTCTCTTAGGTGATTTCCCAGAGAAATAAATGTTCATGTCCATGCAAAGACTTGCACATGAATGTTCATAGAAGATTTATTTTTAATAGGCAAAACTAGATATAACCCAAATGCCAATCTACAGGTGAATGAGTGTGATGATTAATTTTATGTGTCAACTTGACTATCATATCACAAGGTACAAAGAAATTTGGCTAAACATTATTTCTGGGTGTATCTGCATAGACTTTTCCAGATGAAATTAGCATTTGAATTGATAGAGTGAGTAAACAAGAATGCCCTCCTCAGTGTAGACTGGCATTATCCAATCCTTGCAGATCTGAATAGAGCAAAAGCGTTAGAGAAAGAGGAATTTGCTCTCCGAATGATGGCTTGGGCTGGAACTTTGGTCTTCTCCTGCACTCATATTGGTACTTATATTATCAGATCGGCTGATTCTTGGGCCTTGGAAATTTGGGATTTACTTCATTGGCTCCCCTGGTTCTCAGGCCTTTAGACTCATACGGAAACTGTATCACTGGCTTCCCTAGGCCTCCAGCTTGCAGATAGCAGATTATGAAACTAGTCAGTCTTCATAATCAAGAGAGCTTTTATATCTTTATAATAAATTCTATATGTAAATATATATACATATATATGTAGATAGGTAGATAGATGATAGATAGATAGACAGATAGATAGATATAGATAGATATCTCCTATTGATTCTGTTTCTCTGGAGAACCCAGAATAATATATTAGGTAAAAAGATGGTGGCATATCTATACAATGGAATACTAATCAACAATTAAAAAAATTACCTAGAGAGATATCGAACAAAAGGCTGAATATTAAAATATGTAGAGTGATAAATTCAGTCAAAAGAGTAAATAACGTATTATTTGATATATACTCATTTCTATAAAACTAAAACTAATCAATAGTGACAGGAAACAATTGAATGCTTCCTTAAATCTTAAAGATTTAATCCAGATGTGACAAACATGACTTCTCAAATTTTATAACCAAAGCAAGTTATATAATACATCTAACATGAAGAGGCAGAGGATCATAAAGAGTGCTCAGAAGTGGAGAGAATAAAAAATACTTACAACAACATTATCAGCTAGTGAATGTCAAGGAAAGTTGCATGTTTAATTGAACTCATTTATACAGAATAGAAAATCTTTTACTGTGGGAGAAAGAATAATATATTACTGCATATTTTTCCTTTAGAACCAATCACCAAAGTTAACTTCCTTAAACTTATTTGCTTTTCTCAATTTTTTCTCTTATTTCAATATGTAATGGATTGTTAAAAGTGTGCATTTTTTTTAAGCAGAAAACACAGATGAACTTAGAATTAATTTTAACTGTGTTACAACATTTGCAAGTTGATGACAACAGGGAATATTCCAGTTAGTGAATACTGATTTAACTTCTATTTAGAAGTTGCCTTCAGATAATATTTAGATTCCTATGCAAAATAAGTTGGGAGCTTCATCAGCAGTATCTAGCAGTCAGAGATGACTATATTTAGAGTTGAGCTAGAGGCAGCTTTATCACAAACTTAACCAACTTCTGACATGTCATTGTCAGTATGCTGAAATCCACATGTGTATATTTTCTGATTTTAGGCAGAAGTGAATATTACATTCAGAGAGGAGATCTTTTTACTGCTTTATCATTGCATAATGTCCTGGATATATTTGATACTGCTCACAGCTCCAATACACCTGTCACTGCACCTCACTGCTAATACAATGACAGCTCAGTGGTCATGTGTTCCAAGCCAATGTCATGCAATACTGTTTTTCGCTACTCATTCTGAGTTACAGTCAGCATTAAAAGCTATGCTCAGACTTATTCTGGATTAGTTTCCTCCAGAGATGCACATCACTAATATGTTTGATTTTAAGAAGTTGTGATGAGTATTATACGGAAGTAGACCTGTGTATAGTATTTTCAGTATTTGAGATTATAACCTGGTCAATGGGGTCTTGAGTACCATCCAGGATCCAAACAGAGGAGATTTAGGCTTCCTAAATGGCTTGATAATGCCCATCTTCTTCATGATTACATTAGTACAGAAATATGTAAGTAAATTATTAATTATTTAGAGCTAAAAGTACCTTAAAATGAAAAAATGACATACAGAGTTATATATTGAACTCATTTAGAAGATATTTTACTCTGGGTTATATGCTTTAGGAATCCAATGGAGTAAGTTTAATCATTCTCATTTTACATTTACAAGAACTGGCCTTAGTAAGTGGCATAACTAGAATTGGAATTCAGGCCCAGACTTTTAGATTTTATGTATCTTATTCATTTTAGAGAGATATTTTATTACAAACACAATCTTATACCTAAATGTTTATACTGAATATGAGAAACCCAGGGCAGAGAAACTAAGTAATTTTATAAAGCTTGTATAGAGATAGCTAACAAAAAAACAAAAGACTCTCTTGAATTCTAAGTAACTCTCATGTCCTGAAATCAAATCAACATCCTGGCTTCTGTATTCTTTTCAGAGTAGCTTTCTAATTAATTCAATACTCTACCCAGTTCCTAACATTAATTGAGCATCTACTATCTGTAAGACTCTTGACCTTACAGTTTATAAAAAGAAAGTCTGTCTATATTGAGCTTACAATTTAGTTGAGGAGGATATTGAGTAATAACTAATTAAATAATATCACTTTTATGGTTGTAGTTGTAGAGAAGAATAAAACTGGGTAGAGGAATAAACTTACTATTTTTAGCAAGGAAGGACCTATGAGGATCCCATTTGAACAGAAATTTAAATAATGAAAACAGTCATGTCATGAGGAAAAATTGAGAACAGGGTAATACCTTCAGCCTACATGTGTTATAAAGTTCATGTTTTTTATATAATATAACTTATAAATAAGTGGTTCTTGAATAAAGTCATCTTTTTTTTACACACAAACGTGCACACACAAATACATAACAATTTCTTACTTATATTTGTGAAGTGGTTTTGTGTATCTCTGCATATTTGTTTTCCTTAACATACTATATATAGAGACCTTTACTGAAATATTTAAATTACAAAAGCTCAAAGATTGTTATTAATGTTAAAGTAGCATTTTAAAAAATCTAAGATTCAAAAACGTGTCAATAATGAGATAAATTATAAATAATTATTTAACTATTTTGATATTTGGAAAATGGGCTTTTATTTTATTATTTATTTTTACTTTTTATTTTTAGACGGAATCTCGCTGTGTCACCCGGGCTGGAGTGCAGTGGCGCGATCTCTGCTCACTGCAACCTCTGCCTCCTGGTTTCAAGCGATTCTTGTGCCTCAGCCTTTCCAGTAACTGGGATTACAGGAATGTGTCACCACACCCAGCTAATTTTTGTATTTTCACTAGAGACGCAGTTTCACCATGTTGGCCGGAATGGTCTCGGCCTCCCAAAGTGCTGGGATTACAGGCGTGAGCCACCACGCCCGGCAGGAACCTGGGCTTTTTCTTACAAAACCTTTACTTAATAAGATTCAATGCCAGATATGTTTTAAATCATCTCATAGAAAGAAATAACACTTTATTAGCTAATGTGTTAGCCTTGAGAAAACAGGTGATCTTATTCCATGATTCACTGATTACTCAATATCTTGCACATAAAATTCTAGAAGTAATTAGTGGCTAAATTAAGAAATTATAATTAATCTAGTATTTACTCTTTGTTTATAAACATGAATGTATAATTTTACAAATAGATATATGGAAAAAATGTAAAATTTATATTTCAGACAAAAATATATAAAAAATTGGGTATCCTAAAATGTTTTATTTACAGATTTTCATTTTTTTCAACACATGCTTTATGGAAAAATAACCACACAATATACACATTCAAATATCTCACAGAAATGCTGTATCTTGTTTGTATATGAAAAAAATGATTTCATAAAATGCTGGTATATTTTGTCCAAATATAAAAATTTCCATTTGGAAAATTCATTTCTCAGCAGTAGGAAAATTCTTGGAAGTTCGAATGTTGTAAGAAGTCAAAACCAAACACGTATCATATTTACATATTAGCTTTTCCAAACGTGAAAATGCTTCTCCAATTTTCTAACAAATCATGTGTATAATAAACAAAGCTTTCTTTATATACAGAACTTATTTTATATTTTCAATTTTTGTCCTCTACTTATGTTTGAAGTTTTTATTTTTGGAATCTAATAAATGTGTCCATTTTCTATGCCATGAAATACAATACAAAGTGCATTTAATAAATAAAAAATATGGCCAGGCGCGGTGGCTCCCGTCTGTAATCGCAGCACTTTGGGAGGCCGAGGCGGGCGGATCAAGAGGTCAGGAGATTGAGACCATCCTGGCTAACAAGGTGAAAACCCGTCTCTACTAAAAATACAAAAAATTAGCCAGGCGTGGTGGCACGCGTCTCTAATCCCAGCTACTCAGGAGACTGAGGTTGTAGTGAGGCGAGATCGTGCCATTGCACTCCAGCCTGGGTGACAGAGTGAGACTCAGTCTCAAAAAAACAAAAAAACAAAATAAATAAATAAATAAAAAAAATAGCTGTATAATTTTTGAAAATCAATAATTGTAACAATATCTAAAATAAGAACTGTTGCTATCATTTTTAATATAATATGCTAAGCATTTTTCTAATGTGTAAATGTATTTAGTTTTTAGAATAACATTATAAAGTTGGTACATTTTAAGAAAATTTAGATAATTAAGGCATTTAACCAGAGTATTCCAGCTAATAGATAGAGGAGATATAAAATTACTACGTTTCCTTCTCTGCCTTGACAGACAAAAAAACAAATATGTGCTTTTGAAAATACAGAAAATAAGTGAATGAGTCCAACAAAAAAGTATTTAAGAATTGATGCCAATCATAAAACAAGAAATTTATGCTACCGTATGCAACATATTAAATGTTATAGTTAAAAACACAAAAGAAGTAAAATTTCAGAAATTCAGCACACAATTTTCAAGCTCTAAGAGACAGAATTGTCTGCATAAAAATATGTCTTAGAATTTTGCTTCTCATTCCATCTTTGATGCCCTGGGACTAAGATCCCATCTCTCCAAGCAGGAAGGCTACAATAAAACAAAATTAGAGCATTGATTAGGATGACTGTTTTATTCATTGTTATATATTATGTGTATATGTGTGTGTACAATACATAATGACACAAAAAGGAAAAATTTGTTTTTATTTATTTGTTTGCTTTTTTTGTTTTGTGAGTCCATCTTTCTAGCTGCATACTCAATGTGAACTTCACTCAACACTTTCCAAAGTATTGAAGTATATACATATATATGAAAAGTTCCAGAAATGATATTCCTTTTTATTTAAGATGTGTTTATTTTTCATCTTCAGAAAGGCTTGGCTTTGGAACCTAAAACATTTGCATACAGTAGAAAATATCCACATGAATTCAACAGGAAATTCGTGGCAGAGTTTATGTTTACTGGTGCCTAAATTTAGAGAACTGCAGTCATAAGTGACTGTGTTGAAACAAATAATTCAGAAAATTAGGAAAATTATTAAATATAGGACACCTTCTTCTTCTTCTTCTTCTTCTTCTTCTTCTTCTTCTTCTTCTTCTTCTTCTTCTCCTTCTCCTTCTCCTTCTCCTTCTCCTTCTTCTTCTTCTTCTTCTTCTTCTTTTTTGAGACAGAGCCTCCCTCTATTGCCCAGCCTGGAGTGCAGTTGTACAATCTCGGCTCGCTGCAACCTCCACCTCGTGGGGTCAAGCAAATTCTCCTGCCTCAGCCTCCGGAGTACTTGGACTACAGGCACACTCCACCAAGCCCGGCTAGTTTTTTTTGTTTTGTTTTGTTTTGTTTTTTGTATTTTTAGTAAAGACGGGGTTTCACTGTATTGGCCAGGCTGGTCTTGAACTCCTGACCTTGTGATCCACGCTCCTTGGCCTCTCAAAGTGCTGGGATTACAGGCATGAGCCACCGCGCCCAGCCAGGACAGTTTCTTCTTTAACTTAAGGAAGAGAGGATCAAAACCGTGATTAATTTATACTTTGGGTTGTCTCTTATTTAAAGAAAGTAACTGTGCAGAAAGCCCCACTTGCAACCAGAAGTTTACTCTATTGTAAGTATCATAGGGATGGTGCCCAATTTTTTTATTTCTTTTTTGTTTTTCTTAATTTTTACTTTTTTGTTCACCTCTAACAGTGTCTGCAGTGTCTGCAACACAGTGGATGATTCAGCAAGTATGATTTTTGAGTAAAGAAATGATAAGCCAACAAAAGACAAAACACAGGAACAAGTTACTAAGACAGGTTTTAGAAATATTTGAGACCCCAAAAAAAGACAAAAAGGAAAAAAATACACACTTATACTACATTGTTTACACATCGATCTGCCATTAGGCAAAAGATTTGAACAGAAGATTTCTGAATACCCATTTGTGCTATTTCATTCCATTCACCAGTGGAATAAAATAATGGCATGAAATATCACTATCACCATTAATGTCTATAATACAGTATAATAAATATAACGTTCAGTACCATTTTCAAGCCAGGCTTTCCAAATACTTTTCTTACTTTTCAGTCTTCTAACTTTATGAACACTTTCACTATGTCTCCAAATGTTGCTTTTCTAGGTTTGCTTTGTTTTAAGCCTATTATATTTACATTATATTCTAGGGAAAGATATTTGCTAACAGGGATGCAACTGAACTTAAATCATTTTTTTTATTATTTTTAAATCTTTTTTTATTTAACTAACTAACCAAGGAGCAATGCCATGAACGTAAGTCTCTTAACTCTTGGTTTACTCCCACAATCTGCCTTTCTCTAAGCAACAAAACTGAATATTAGATCGCATATGCATTAGTGATAGATATCAAAAATGGTAGTAATTAATCTGCTACTCTTCTCACTCTTCATTCCAGGAGAAGACATTACTATCCATCCTTTAACCAAAATAGGGAAGATCTGAGTAATTTCCTTCTCATATCAGTCCTTTTCTTCACATGTTTAAGTGGCTGTGAAATATTAGAAATTCTGCTTAATTTAGTTTCTCTCATCTTCCCTTCCTGTTAAGAGCTAGCTCTTTTGCTAGATGTAAGTCATCTTACATAGTAAAAATAATTTCCTCATTTTGCAAGAAGCTCTTGGAATCTGGTGCACAGTACCACCCTCCAATTCAGCTAAATATGTATGTGTGTGTGTATGTGAGGGTATCCTCTCTGCTAAGATCATGTCTATTTTCCTTAACATGCTCTGGTTGGTAATGTAGAGACTATACCATCCAGAAGATCCCCTTTAACTTTAAAGTTTTTCTAACAATAGATGATATTTCTCATTTCCTTTAATCCATATAATTCAGTGGTCATCTCATGTATTTATTCAGCTTAATTTATCAAAATCACAGACAAAAAGCCCTTTTCAAAAATATCAATATTTTTATATATTGTGGTCATCATGAAATACAAACTTTAATTAGTAAAATAACATAAGACTCCATGAATTTTGTAAAGAAAACATGAATGTCTTCCTCTCTTTTCTTCCTTCCTTTGACTATAAAAGAGATAATAATAGAAAATTTCATATTGTAATTCTATAATTTGTAAAAAATACTAAAACATTTCTACTTGGATTTGTTCAAAATTTATTCTTTTAAAATTCTTTCTGAATTTAAAAATGTTAAATGTGATTTGAGAAATAGCACAAGGCCCTTGACAGAGGCTCCTGTCTGTGTGAGTGTATGTATGTGTGTGTGAGTGTGTGTATATGTATGTATGTGTATAGAACCATTTTGAAGTTACCTTCTTTTACTATAAATAGCTAACTCTTATGCTAAATATGTCTTCTTTCATATGAATAATTAGTGATTTTTCTTTTTATGAGATTCTTTCGTCACATTACACAGTACTCATCCTTCAATTTAACTTGATCAATTTAACTATTGCCTTGAAATATACACCACTTTAAACTTACAAATTAGAAAAGGCAAGATGGCTCAATAATTCAGTTTCTTTATAAGTCAAGGCTGTTTGTTGTTTTCAAATTATTGTATTTTTGTATATATTTATTTGTGATCTAGAACTAATTATCATGTAGATATAGAAAATTATGTATATAGGTGTGTATGTAGAAATTGTATTCTATACATTGAAAAATAATTATCAATGTGTTGCTCTATTGAAAATTAACACAATTTAATAAACCTCATTTTAAAATGCTGAATACTTGTTTCCACATGAGACAAAGCATTTTTTTACTTCCACTTTAAAATGTTCTGAATTATTGCTTTAACTCTAGTTACTTTTGTGAAGTTGCAGGCTGAAAGTAAATAAGTATTGTTACATTACATTAGCATAATAAATATTTGTGAAAACATTTATTGCTTTATGCACTAAACTATGAACTACCTATGCAATGCCAGATTGTATTTTTTAAATCTTTGATTATTCCTATTTTCTATTAAACTAACTGAGAATTTATTGATAAACAATTTTACAACTTGTCACACAATTCACATAAAGTTTGCTGAAAGGTTCAGAATAAATGTGAACCACGAGTTTAAGTGAAATTGCTTGACTAAATAATATTTGATATATGTCAACGCAACATATTTCACATTTAAGAAGATTAAAATATGTGGGGTTTTTTTAGGCTGTTGACATTTCAGATAAAATTTTCAATATGTAGACTCTCTTTTTAAAATTATTCTAAGCTGATTTGTTAGGAGAAAGATATTGGCTTAACTACTGTGGTAGGGTGCAAATTTTACAATCTTGCTTGGGTCAACCTTGCTAACTTGATCTCCTGTCACTATTCCTTTTTCCACTTTATGCTTTATCTGCACTAAATTAAAAATCATTTTTGTTTTTCTGTTTTTTTGTGTGTGTTTTTCTTTTTTGAGACAGATTTTTGCTCTGTTGCCCAGGCTGGAGTGCAGTGGCATGATCTTGGCTCACTGCAACCTCTGCCTCCCGGGTCCAAGTGATTCTCCTGCCTCAGCCTCCCGAGTAGTTGGGATTACAGGCACACATCACTATGTCCTGATAATTTTTGTATTATTAGTAGAGACTGAGTTTCCCCATGTTGGCCAGGCTGGTGTCGAACTCCTGACCTCAAGTGATCTGCCCACCTTGGCCTCCCAAAGTGCTGGGATTACAGGCATGAGCCACCGCACCTGGCCAAGGATCATTTTTGAAATATATTTTATTTATTTCTCTCTAATATTATACGTGCTACTCTTACTCTCTAAAACGTTTGCTCTCTTCATCCCTTTATTATTTGTCAAGTTTCTACTTCTTTCAAGTCCTGAGTCAGGTGTTTCTTTATCTATGCACCCCATCCATCCTGAGAGAACAATGGTCTCACTTGTTACTCTCGCAGTTGGTATACATCTCTATAAAAGACCTTCTTACAAATTTAGACTTAGTTGTTTATAAAACTACTATTATCCATTATAATAGTCAGTAAAGAGACTGACTATTATCCATTATAATAGTCAGTAAGGAGAGGGGAGAATGAGCGTGGAGCCCCTCATCCCTCTCCACTGGGTTAGGAAGTCAGAAGGGAGACCCCGCGACGCCTTGCTGTGGAAGCTGGGATGCCTCCGAATGACCTTTGGGGTCCACCCGTCATTATCAGACAGGGGTGAGAGACAGCGCGGAATATCAACACCACAAAGTAAACTGTAGTGTATAGTTCCTGAGAACAGTGACTATAACTTAATCACCTTTCTATCACTATCCTTTAATAAAATGCCAGATAGATTATGTTTCTCTTCTGTCACCAATATCACTCAACCCAAGAAAGCCAAGACTACAAATTACAAGACATCTGCAGTTCCCATTCTTTTTATGAGATGAAAGACTCTAGGAAATATAAAACTTTGGGTGTTATTCTTTAGGATTTCCATTTTCACTCCCAAATGAATATTAGTTTCAACTGGGAAACTTTGAAAACTGTACTGCTGATAGCTATAGAAGGGAGGGAACTTCTAGGCAGACAGGGGTGGGTCCCTGGCAAAACACCTTTGAGCCAAAAGGCCTGAAACCTACAGCCCAAAGTGAGAACTTCCATCTCTGTGTGCCTGCTCTCTCCCGATTGGTTCTTTCTGAATAATGTCTTTTAACCAGTGGAATGCTGCCTTTTCCAAAACTACCTACGGCCGCCCCTATCCTGTACCTATAAAGACCCCAGACTCAGCTGGCAGACAGTAGAAGTGGCCAGACATCAGGGAGAAGCAGCTGGATATCTGGGAGAAGCAACTTTCACTTCAGAGATGGTGTCTGGACTAGGCAACTTGACCTCGAAAGAGAGATGCTTGAGAGGCGGCTTGACTTTAGGGGAGAGGGACCTTCCGTTCCTGTCCCCTTTCCAGCTCCCTCTGCTAAGAGCTGCTTTCATCACTCAATACAATTCTCCACATTCACCATCCTTCAATTCATCTGCATGACCTCATTCCTCTTGGGCACCAAACAAGAATTTGGGATGCACTGGGTGCGGGTACCCAAAAAGGCTGTCACACTGGCCCTTTGCCCTCACTGGTGAAAGGCAGCTTCCCCACGTGACGAGGCAAAGGGCTTGCCGAGCTGATAACACACTGCTGTCTGCAGGTGGAAGAGCTAAGCGAGCATTGTAACATGCCCTCTGGAGCTTTGGGGTCACAGGCACCCCTAACCTGGACACTGCTGCGAGGCCCTCCCAGACTTCGCTCCTGCAGGTGCCAAAGCAACTGGTTCCTACACCAGGTTGCTCTGGTGCCTGCACTCGTTTGCTCACACGCTCCCTCCCACAAGGAGTTGACTGGGATGGGCTGAGTAAATGAGGCACCCATGTTGCAAGTCCTACAAAGGGGTCAAGAAAATATCTGGCATCACTACTGGTCAGAGTCCACCAAAGTAAATAAAACACCAAATTTGAACTCCAGCCCCAAGAATAATTACCAATTCTGGGCCAAGCTCATAGACACTAAACTGCTTCACCATAAGAGACCATACATGTGTGGACATATTTGTCTCTGAGAGCTAATTGACACCAGGTTGTAAATTAATGAAATCTCTAGCCAAATGAGATGAAATTAAGTTAGATGTAATGACGCTGCTTGCTACTTGCCAATATATCCTAGGGGAAGTAAGAGAAGATAAAAGTAAAACATTACCCCAAGGCTTAAGTTTAAAGCCCACAAGTGCCTCACAATATCTCCACAAGAAAGTCCAGAAGTTCACAAACACGTTACAAATTTTATACTGTCTAAATCTAGTATACATCTCATTTACGTTTTTCTAATTGCTCAAAATTTCCACTTTCCAAGGTTGTTTATCCTCAAGAAGATTTTCTTCCATAGTGCTCTGCTTATCTTGGTATCATGATCCAAGTTATTCTCATTTCCCAAACCCAAATAGTGTATTGATTTCATGAAATAATTAAATTATTCCTGAATCTGTAATTGGATTGACTTTTTAATATGTCTGTAAACTTCATAAGAGCAGAGAACTTGTCTTGTATACCCATTATTATAACTGGATTATGTAGAAGCATTTCTTGCTCTTAATAAGCCAGGTTTGAATGAATGAAGTCATGTTCAATAACAAAGAAGTTTTGTAGATGTGTAAATATTTGAAAAACAGGATAGTAATTATGTTACCTATAGCAAGCACACCAGAACACAACAATCTAGGTAAATCTTGTTCCCTTTCAGTACTGCCTTTTTCTATTTGTAAGACCTTGGAAAATAATTTTGTCTTTCAGTGAATCAAATGTCATTTTCTATATAGAATAGAATAATAGCTATCAGGTAAGGTTATTGTGAGAATTAAATATGTTAATGGCTGTAAAACACAAGTAATTGTTCTAGCACATAACACTCAATAAATGTTTGCTCTTATTATTGAGTAGAGTGATTGTTTTCTTAGGCATCTATGTCAGTTTCAGTAACAATTATCTGCTTTTAATTATAAAATTCTAAATATTAATTATAATCTTCTATCTGATGACAACTGCTAATCTAAGATCACAAAGTATTCTCCACATTCAAAATTAAACCATGGTTTATAATTTAATTCAGACCTGTATGAAAATATATGAATTAGAATGTCAGGACGAGAAGAAGTTTATTCTGTTTTAGCATAGGCTCCTTTTCAACTAAATAGGCCCTAGTTTTCTGGCTAGAAATCAGGCAGTAACTTTGCAGAAATTCTGTCCAATCCCCTACTTTAATTAATTTCCCAAAATGTGAATAGGAGGAAGAAATACAAATTTAAAAAAATTGGAAATATTTTAAAATATTGAGTGGAAAGATTGTAAGCTATCCCTATATTTTTACAAGAATCTTGAATTAAAATATCTGTTAATATTGTCAGAAAATATGTCAAGTGTTCTCGTTTAATATCAATAAAATCTGCATAAACAATGGTTTCAAATTTTTCCATATATAATTCACTATAGAATATGCCTTTGAAGAATGTTAAGGGTTGTTTCTAGCTAGAAAGAACAATTGGTTTACATGTCCTGAAATAAATATTCATTTCACCCTTCCAGCCACGTTGCCATTTTTGTCTTTGCTCCTTGATGATTAGACAGGTTTAAGGAAAACAAACATTTTTTGTTTGTCTTCAAAAGGACTTTATAGTTCCTATGGTGTAGATATACTGCATGTAGTAATTTAAAATAAGATAGAGTAATTTATTAACTGCCATTAAGCAAAATAAAATTTGCACATGGGCTCTTCCACATTTACACTGGAATAAGAACTAGAAGTTTCTTGCATTTCATTTACACAATTCTTAACTAGAGTTTGAAAACCTTTCCATAGTCAAAGTAGTTTCAAAGGATGATTACAGAGACGAAACTGTCACCGAATTCTGCTTTCCTCAGCAATTCAAAATAAAACTTCAGAAAGCATTTTGTCCTGCTCAACCTATCATTTAATATGAAATTTAAAGCTGTCACTGATGTCACATTATTAGGGTAGAAAGCTTGATATCATGTTGACACTAAATTCCATTTAAAAGCTTCCAAAAATATTCTGGGTGTCTTGTTCTGACTTTTACAACCTTTGATAATATCATCTTGAGTAGATCACTCAAGAGCAGAAATCAGTGATTTTTGTAAGCTTCATAATGGTAGAGAATCCCACATGGAGATATTTGCATTCTACTGCTTTGTACTAGAAAATGCACAAGGTGAATGTAATGAGATGAGTTGGGAATATTGCAATGCTTTAAGTGAGAAATGATGAGTCTGGGCTTAAGTTGAAAAAAAGGGCAGCGATTAGAGGAATAAATATTTGTAGAGTGAATTGGACCGGGTGACCTATTTGTGGTTGGGAATGGGAAGGAGAAGCGGACGGTAGTCGTAAAATCTTTTATTGTTAGACTGGGTAGACGGACATGCTACTAATGGTCATACACTCAGGTTGGGGGTGAGGATTTTGAGGCTTTATGATAACCTCTGTCCTCCCCACATGAAAAAACAGTTCTAGAATTACTGCATCAATGCAAGAAGGTCTGGGACATTTGCCATAAGCCAGCTCCGACCCCATGCATTATGAGCAAATGTGGTTTCTCTCAACCTCAGATATCTTCAACTTTTATTTTTCTGGCCCTTGGGCATATAATTTGAACCAATCTTTCCTTTAATTAGAATGCAGATTCCAGTAACTCTATTTACAAATTTGGCTTAAGCCTAGGAAAAAGTACGACCCAGTCTACCTTACTGATGTATTTCAGGGTAGTTTTGACACTCAGGCCTCTATTTTACTATAAGTAAAAACAAAACTAGCAAAGCATCACCTATCATAAGTGGAAATTCAAAGAGCACTACATATGATGGAGACATATTTTAAACATCCAATGTCATTATCTGAGAGGTAGTAAGTTGGAGATAAATTAGAACAGATTTTCTAAACTATCTGTGGTAAAGGATCAGATATTTATTTTTAAAAATACCTAATGTGGTGTAAACTGATACTTATGCAAAATGCAAGAAAAGTGAATCCGTTGAAAAATTAGATGAAAAAGCACAAATACAAACCATCCAATTTTGTATTAATATAAAGTTTAATCTGTATAAAATTACTCTGTCAAATTGCTATAAAAAAGTTTCTAAATATTACTGTGGATCCTGCCTTTGTATTAAAAAGTGTCAAAGAGCTCACACACCTATTCTGGTCTGCCAAACGCAGTTTGGGTAGCATTAGATTCAGAACCTGAATCCAAAAGAAAACATTTAGATCAGCACTAATGAGGCTAGAAGGAGATTATAATTAGGAAAAGCAAATGCAATGAGAAACAGCCCTGAATCACAGCTGAGATCAGAAAAGAAAACTGTAAAGTCATTTTATCATTTTTTAAAAGAGAACTTTTTACTAGCTAAACCTGAAAATGCAGGGGAAAGCAAGTTGATATAGCTGGAGTTGAAATTTTGTCTATTTTTAACAAGGTGGAAAGAACGGTATGTTGGAGCATAAGTGTTGGAGAGGATGAAAGACAAGAGTGGGATTTTTGAATGTAAGATTAGAAGTTTGAATTTCCTGTCTTACTTTTAGATCTTTATTACAGTAATTTTTAGAATAAGTCTATCTGGAGTCTTCTAAACTAGCAATTTTTATTTGTTACATAAACTATTAACTGCTACTTTTTTCAGATTATATTTTTTTTTCAATTTCTGCCAGAAGTATCTTCTCAGTCCTCCACTCCTAGAGTAGACCATTTCTCAGATGCAAATATTTACAATAGTAATGACACAGAGTGGCAGAGTATTTTTATTCCTAGATGTCACTTCATGGAGGAAAGATGACCTGATATAAGATTATTGATTGACACTCATTAATCCAGTATTAAAACCGTGAGAGCTGAGAATTTTTCACATTCCTATCTCCATTTGGGGAAAACTGTCTTCAGTATTTTTTTGAAATGACAAGAAAAATTTAATATTGAATTGCAAGGAATTTGAATTCTTGACAGATGTAATGATTTGACAGCACCTAATTCAAATGGAGTTGCACAGATCTCTAGGGACAACGGAATAAAGAAACTTAAATGATCCCAATGATGGAGGAAGAGCCAAAAATAGAATAAATGACATTTGTTTGACTTGTCAACCTGTGAAGCCTACCTCATGATCACTGAGGAGCCTCTAACAGAAGTTTCTCTTCTCAAACCATTGTCACAGATAGATAGGGACTCCTAGAGAGAAAACATAAACTTACACATGTGACAACTCAAGGGGCAGTGCATATAATGGAGCTATTTTAAATTAACAATTCCACAACTTTCACGGGAAACTCTGTAGAGAAAATAACCAATTTAGTTTTGTGGAAAAATGAAAGAGAAAATTCAAAAAACTTGACAGCATATTTAACCCTAAAGTTTTGGTGTGGGCTTTTTAAATGTAATCACTTACATATAACTACATATACTCATAGTGAAAAGAATGTATATGTATGAAAAAATGTAATTTTCTAGACTTAGATATAAGAACAAAGTGCTATTGTTAAGTCTTTTACTTGAAGAGAGTAATTGTCCAGAACACTATGTACATTAAGGTAAAAATAGAAAGAGTACTAATTGAGTAATAATAACAATAATAATAGTAATAAATGTTTGTGGCATATTTACCAGGTGAAGGGCACTGTACTGAAAGTTTTATGTGTGTTATCGGGTAAATAATATTATCTTTGTTTTTGTGCAGACATGAAAATGAAGGCAAAGATCAGAGAATTTGAATGACCTGCAGAATGTCACCTTGATGAGTTACATGTCAGAGATTTGAGTATGATCAGTGTGGTGTCATTTTATTTAGTTCTTTGTTCAGCCTCAAATGCCTTAGCAGTGAT
Source organism: Homo sapiens (assembly GCF_000001405.40). Taxonomy (NCBI): domain Eukaryota; kingdom Metazoa; phylum Chordata; class Mammalia; order Primates; family Hominidae; genus Homo; species Homo sapiens. The sequence goes on from NC_000006.12 coordinate 103,269,416, forward strand.
TAGTCAACACTTTCATATGAGTTGTAGCATGCCACCATTTTAGTAAAAGGAGTGTTGGACAGAGATAAAGGAGACAAAATGTGGTTCTGACTCTTGAATTAGGCGGTTATGTTATCCTGAGTAACCCATTGTCTCTGTAAAGCTCTCATATCCTACGTGTTACAAGAAATTACTGAAATAGCTTTTTAAAAAAATTTTCCATTCTGTTTAATGTATACATAAATGAGCTACTATAATTATTGCATGTTTATTTTATGTACTACCCCCTCATCTTAAACCAACTAATTCGTGTTTATGAGCTATGGATTCAATAGATAAAATGAAAGGATGCAGACTGTTTAATGAAATACAGCACATCATTACCAGCTACCACTAGAAAATGACTCATAATTCATGTCCATGAAAGGGTGCTTTAGTAGCATTTTCATAAACAAATGGAAAATTGTTGAGTATTTGTTAGATATTCTAAAGAGTATGCTTTATCTGAATGTGAGTCTCAGAATTATCTAAGCCATTACTTGAGACTGTTACGTGAAAATATCAACAATTTCATTACATTCTGAAAAATTGGTTCTTAAGTGCTTTGAAGCAAAAATGATAACAGTCTGGAAGTTTGAAAGTATGAGTCTTTATTTCAGAAATAATGGAACATGAAAATAAACAGTACTCAATCTACCATAGAAATTATTGTATACTTTTTGGGAAGCTTGAGGGACAAGGGAAAAGAAGGAATATATATTATTTTAACAAGTATTATCCCAGGAGTTGGGGAAATAGGTACTAGAGTAGTTCCATGAAAATTTTGTTCTGATAAGTTCCATTATCATGAATTGTATATTTTTACATTCCTGATACCATGATTTTGAGAAGATGCAGTTTGTTGTAGTTGTTTTAAGGCAATTGGAGACGAACATAGTTGCAAGTATGGATTCAAAAACCACACACACACACACACACACACACACACACACATTCATGCACATTTGTTTTCCATTTTATTAAAGAAAGTATACTTTTAAGAACAAGAACATAGAAAAAATGTAATTTCAAATTGATGCATGTATCTCTCAGTATAAAAATCTGCTGGATTCCCAAGTTGAAACAGCAAGTTCAGATAGCCAGAGAGAGTGTTTCCTTGAAATGATTCCATCACAATTTATCGACATGTTTTCAGCTCCAGAGATTGGATAGTGAGTGTTTAGGTAGTAAAAGACATATGGCATTTGGCTTTATGGAAAAGTTTGTACAGTGATTTTATTTTTCTTATTTTTACAAGAGTCCAATGAAACATTATCACAATTAGCAAGCAGCTTATGATGGTTGAACTAGCAGACTGCAAGAAAAATATGTTTGATAAATTGCTGATGTAGATAAGTCAATGGATTTTAAAAAGTAGGCTTACAATAAAACAAAATAAAATAAGACATGTAATTTTAGAAATTGAAGAAATATAAATATTTTAAAAGGTAAATTAATTGTTCATAATTTAACAGAGCTCTGATTCTATGTTCAGCCCTTTTTAAAAATGTACCAGAGAGTCTTACTCTTTTAGGCCCATTACATTTATTCTTGTACATTAAAATATATAAGTATAATCTGGAAAAATCCTGATTTTTAAATGATGGAAGATTTTCCTTCCTGTAAAATATAATTTTTACAAAACAGTGCACAAAATTTTCTGAGTAAATTAAAGCTCTCTTGATGCAGTCTGTACATTACCCACAGCTTGTTCTATCCAGTTGAGAAAAAGACAATTAAGAATATTAATAAATCATATTGAAATGTTGATGAATTAAGAATGCAAATTGAAATTGGATTTAAACAATGTCTTCAGTAGTATAAGACAGAAATAACATGAATTAATCTTCTTTAATAATAGTATCCATCTTGTAATATTTCACTTTCTTATGTTAGGTTGGTGCAAACTTCCCTTATCATGAGTTGTATATTTTTACACTCCTAATATCATGATTTTGAGAAGATGCAGTTTGGTGTAGTTGTTTTAAAGCAATTGGAGACCAACATATTTGTAAGAATGGATTCAAAAACCAAACACACATACACACACACACACACATGCACACACACACACATTCATGCACATTTATGTTCTAAACATTTTATTAAAGAAAGTATACTTTTAAGAACAAGAACACAGAAAGAATGTAATTTCAAATTGATGTATGTATCTCTCAGTATACAAATCTGCTGGATACCCAAGTTAGAACAGCAAGGTCAGATAGCCAGAGAGAGTGTTTCCTTGAAATAATTTCATTACAATTTATCTACATGTCTTCAATTCTAGAGATTGGATAGTGTGTGTCTATCCAAACTCTGGAGCTGAAAGCATGTTGATAAATGTTGATTGTTCATTTCATATTATTTGATATTTTGCCAATTTAATATCTCATTTCATTTTTATTTTAACTCCTTAATGATACATCCCCCACATGTCACAAATTATTGTGTTTCTTTAATTTGCCATTTATAGATTTTATACATTAAAATGCCATTTGACATTAAAAGTAATGGCAAAAACCATGGTTACTTTTCAACCAACCTAATAGTATTGGAGAAAAAAAATAAACACTTGGATTTAATTACACTGTCAATACTGCATACAGTTTCTCATAGAATGTTCTGAGAAGAAACTGAATAAGCAGTCACAAATAGAAAAGAAATAAAATTAATGTTGAAAGTTTAGAGAAACTAAGACATGTATATAAGCTTTCTAAATAGAAGAAAAAAGTGAAATTTTGTTTGTTTATTCAATATTATTTGACATTTTGCCAATTTAATAATATCTCATTTCACTTATATTTAAATACCTTAGTGATACATCCTCCATGTCATAAATTATTGTATTTCTTTAATTTGCCAGTTACAGATTTTATATATACCTAAAAAATATCATGATCAATGTCTGAGGTTAACACACATTATTTGTTTGAAAAATCAATAAGTAAAATATAAAGCCAAAGAACATGAGATAAGAAGTGTTTTATTAAGTTTTTTTTTACAAAGCCTGGAGATTTAATTCTGAAAGAAAATGAATACTGCAGTCTTGAAATCACGTGATTTTATAGGTTGATGTAGATGTCCCATTTAATGAAAAATGTTGTCCTTCAAGTGATTCCACTTATACTTCTGACTAGATTAAATTTCCCCCCTAGAAACCTAATGAAGATAATGTATCTTTTTGCTTTCTTAATTCTTTCCTAACAAAACTTTTGTGAGGGGGAAGGAAATGAAGAGATAATCTTTTGACAACATACTAAAATGAAAGCATTATAAGATGGACAGGAAACATGAGTAAATTTATTGGTTAATTAAGTCTTTAGTTTCTCTTAATTGGCACAACCTAAAATTATTTATTGATAGCAAATGGTTCTATGTTCTAAATAAATTTTATTTTTGGACACTGTGGAACAGTTAATAAATGTATCAAATATTCTACCTCGTGTTATTTTTGCTAGTTTACACAAAAACACAATTATTTTGTTTGATTCTGTTTTTCATAAATATTTATGTATAATATCATTTTCCTTGTAAACAGGATTTTTCCTGCCCAAAGGGAGGAAAAACAATTTGTGTGTTAATTTTATCTCACTGGTTTTGTTCAGCTTCAGTAGTTGTGTATATAAAGGAAGAGATTAGATAAAGGGGAATACAAGCAACCCCTGTTGTGAACGTAAAGAATTTTAATTAGCCATGATGATAATTTTGAAGCATTTCAGGTATATTCCACCCCTCTGCTCATAGAACAGACCAGCTGCTAAATGGTTCCTGTCAGTAGTCCTTCAAAACTTATTTTGTTTAGATTTTGCTGCCCCCTACAGAATAACCAAAGGCATTCATGAGTTTGCCATGTACCTTCAACTTCAAGATGAGAGCATTTCATGTCTTCTTGAGATTCTGGTAGAAATAACCCTCACATGGTAGTTTTTATTACTAAATTTGGCATATTTTGTATTACTTGTGACACAGCTGAACCTCCCTCAAAATTAAAATAAAGAAATAAAAAGCATTCTTTCCAATAATTCCTCCCTTCTCTACACGAAAAGAAAAAGTAAAAATTTTTAAAGAGAAAAACTAGTAATGTTTAAAATTTTCAAATAGTAACCTCATTGTAAAACTATAGAGCGTTTTGCCTTTTTTCCCATTTCATGAAAGACAATTTTATTGTTCTAAGTGCTTAACAGGCATAAATAGGCCATGGAACTGACAGGGGGAAAAAATCCTTCAATAAGATAGATAGATTATCTGGTTTACCTTCAAAAGTTCTAATCTATGTAAAAAAAAAATGCATTCACTACTAATAAATATAAAATGGTTCTTTCTTTGAAAATCACATTATTGATTTATCAAACATCTTTTTTCTGGGTCTTCAAATAAAAAAATGTGTATTTGTTTTTAAATAAACTCCTTGCTCATAGTAGAAAAATATAGGTTAAGTGCAAAAATTTAGGTAAACCTGAAAGTGGCAATTCAGTGTGTTCTATTTCCCCAATAAATTGTTTCCTAAAAATGTGCAACACATGTAATTACTTTCACTTATTTTTTGTATTTTTATCAGCTGTTTCTCTTTGCTAGAATGGTGCTTATGAAGAAATAAGATACATCAATCATAAAAGGCGTTACTATTTCTAAATAAAAAATCGTCATCACCACTAAATAGTGACTAGTAATGGTGAGGCATTAACCCAACAGTCTTCTTTCAGGTCAAGCATGATCTTTAGCTAAGAGAATTTCATTCATTGCTACAGAGAACATTTTTAAATTTTTTAATGAAAATGAATGGTATATTTTAGTTGTAAACATTTATTATTTTCCTGTTTAAAAAAGTAATATTTAGAAAAAACAAAGTTTTCATGAAGATAGCTGAAATAATTTCCATTGCTAATTACATAAGGTAGCATACTCTATTTAAATATAAAGTCAGACTAATATGTGAAAGTGGCAAAAAAGTATAAGTATTAAAACAATCTGGAACTTAATATGAGCAATTTGACTCAACATTTTTTAATCTCCCATCTAATAAATAAAATTGTTTATTTAAAGATAAATACATCCAATGTTCACCTAAATGGCACTTTTGATCTCCAATATACATCAAAATTTTGAATGTTTATACCCTTACAAAACATCCTTTTAACTCCTAATATAGGGTTATCAGTGCTAAAAGCCTGTGAAGCAAATTACCACTATCTTAATTTTAAATGACATATCTTTAAAAAAAATTAAGAAACAGCATAGGAAATAAAGACTACCTAAGCTACACTAAAAAGGAACACATGATTTTTAAACTGAAATATTTTAGTTCTACATTCTTTGCATTTCCAAATATGTTTTATAATCAGCTTATCAATTTCTGCAACAAAAACAGAAAATATGTCTTGGTAAAATTTTACATGATTGACATTATATGGTTTTGCCCTTCATAAAAGCATGAGTTTTATTTTCTTTATAAAATTACATATTTTTTCCCAAGAAAAATATTGTATAACAAAGCTATAAATTTGAGAAAATATATTCAATAATCAGATATTGTTTTTTATTTAATTGTAATCTCAGTATATATTATTAAGTGAAATTAATTGTAATTCTTTAAAAATCAAATAGGAATCTTTTATCTAAATGAAAACAGATATTGTCTGAAAGTATATATTTAAAATACATTCATAATTTCAGTCAGGAATAATGAAATAAAATTGCAACACTGGAAATTGATTATTAACTACTTAGGTTCCTTCTTGGAAATTTCCGTAGTATATAAAATTCCGAGGTCTTTATTCAGGACTTAGTATTAAACTTCCTGCAAGGGAACTATTTTATTTAGGTCTAGATGCTTCTGATATTCCTTATCACTGGATTCTGGTATGTATTCTGTCTTTTCATTAACAACCTTAATTTATTTTTAAAGAGCATATTCTTGAATAATAAACATCATAGAAGTGCATGGAATTTTAGAGAATAATAACATATGTAAAAGAAAAAACAATAGCAAGTATAAAATGAAACTATATTGGTGAATGAGACAGAATGATTACGAAATACAAATTGGGTAAACTTAATGCTAAACAAATAATAAATAGTAATAAAGAAATAAAGTTTCTTAGTGCCATAGGCTGAGTAGAATGAGAATGAGAACAGTGATTAGCTAGGTGATTCACTGTGATAATTGAGATCTATTTATCCAGAATATTTTAAAAAGGATATTAGATAGAAGAGTATGACCCTAAAGTGACTTTGTCATAAAAAAGCATTTAAGTACTAAGTTTAGCTTGCTGTATTATAATATTAATCTTAGTGCTTGGTTTCAACATTTAAAAATATATTATTATTTAAAAGGGTAAATGAACTATCATGCAGAATGGACTTAATTTGTTCATTTGTTCTATGTTTCAATGCCATTCTGAAACATTTTTAATTAAGAACATGAAATGACTCATTAACATTCAGCTCTAAAAATAAGTGACTGATTACAATATGTTGAAAAAAGCAAGTTACTTCATGCATTGCCATCAAATATTTCTCAAAATGGACTCAAGGAATTCTGTTTCAAAACACTTGGGGAGGTAAAAGCTTCACATTAAAAAAAAAAGGACTCTAAGCAGTGCCATAGGTAGGGGGTCACAGATATACACAAAAGATAAAACTATGCATTCCTCTCAATCTATTCATTTAATGGTTATAAGGAGCCTGATTTCACCCCTGTAGCAAAAACTCTAGTTTTTATGTACTCAATACATGCAAAGTATTAAATAACTTTTATTTATTCATATAATAAATCATGAGTGAAGCTATTAATTCAATTCTCATTTTATAACTAAAGCAACAAATATATAGGAACTATTAATAGACTCTCAGAATTACACAGGAAGTTAACATCAGATCCAGATAGATAATAAAAATACTATGTACCTATTCATGCTTTAGCTATATGAAAAAAATAATAGTTCATGAACTCTAAAAATTACGATTTCAATCTACTTGTTTTGGACATTTTTAATGGTGTCAGCCATGTTCCTGTTCCCCTAATAACACTCTGATATCCTTATCGTGGGAATATTAATTGTTAGAAGCTTTTCAGAAATAAATAAAGCAGATTACATAGAAATACGTATGCTAAATGATACATTTCTTACAGAAAACTATTGTAAGCATGAGGCAATCTAGCAAGACTTCTTCTAGAGTGGCAAAGGGAGGACATTCCTCAAAAAAAAAATAAGAAAAACGCTAGCAAAAAGTGTTAAAATTGATGTTTTCAGGATTATAAAAACTAACCAAAGGCTTCCAACAACCTAAGAGTGTTTATTGTAGAAAAATGACTGAATTTGGAGCAGCGTGGTTTGTGTCCATTAAACTTGGCCTACTACCATTACCTTCTCTACAACTCTATGGTAGCTTCAAAATCCAGCAGCTTGACTGGTGCAGTGGCTCACACCTGTAATCCCAGCACTTCAGGAGGCTGAGGCAGGAAGGTCATGTGGGGTCAGGAGATCGAGACCAGCCTGGCCAACATGGTGAAACACCATCTCTACTAAAAATACAAAAATTAGCCAGGCATGGTGGCGCACACCTGTAGTCCCAGCTATTAGGGAGGCTGAGGCAGGAGGATCGCTTGAACCTAGGAAGCAGAGGTTGTAGCGAGCCAACATTGTGCCACTGCACTCCAGCCTGGGCAACAGAGTGTGACTCTTTCTCAAAAAAAAAAAAAAAGAAAAAGAAAAAGAGTAAAGAAAAGAAATCCAGCTGCCTTGCATGCTCTGGAGAAAGCAGACTGGATTTGGGACTTTTCAAAAAATCCTATTCCATAGCATTGTCACTTAGAATCTGTCTGATAGCTCTATAGAAATGCCCATTCCCAGGTTATTGTTGTTGTCAGACTAAATGAAATCCAGCTCCATGGAAAAAGCCTATCCCCAGAGTATTTGTCAAAAATAATCAATGGCAATATTTTCTTATCACAGCTGCTTTGGCTAAAGCGATGTATTTGCCTTATTTGGGCATCTTGTAATGAGGCATTTCCCTTAATTGGTCATGGTGTGATGAACTGGCTGCCTGTGATTGGCTGAACCCTGCCTGTTTGTGATTAGCTGAAGCTCGGCTGTTTTTTGGAGACTTAAATCAGGTTTTGGTTTGTTTATGTATTAAGTTAGTCTGCAGTTTGTTACATAAAAACTGTACGTATGAAGGCAGCCTCAAGTCAAATTTAATTCTGCATGCAACATACATTTTAATAAACAAAAACTCCACAACATTAATAACTAAAATTAAATACAGACAATTTCCATCTTACAATGGTTTGACTTATGATTTTTTTACTTTAGAATTGTACAAAAGTGGTGTGCATTCAGTAGAACAGTACTTCAAGTATCATTCAACCATTCTGTTATTCTGTTTTTCACTTTCATTGTAATTACATTTTCATTTTCAGTATTTTATTATGCAATAAGCTTTGTATTAGAGGATTTTGCCCAATGCTATGCTAATATAAATATTTTGAGCACATTTAAGACAGGATAAGCTAAGCAATGATATTCATTATGTTATGTATTAAATGCATTTTTGAGTTACAATATTTTCAACTTACAATGAGTTTATAAGGTTGTAAGCCTGTTCTTCATAAGTCAAGAAGCATCTGTACACTCAACTAACATATAATGAAAATAATGCAGACATATCCCAAAATAGAGGCTCAGCCTGGGAAGTTTCTTGGCTTCACTCAGGAAACAATTCAAGAGCGAGCCAACAGTGAAAGAAAGCAAGTTTATTAGAGCAACAGTGTACAGCAAAATGGCTATTCCACAGACAGGGCAGGGTTATACTATAGGCAGAGTGCTCCAGGGTAGCCCTCAAAAATTACTGACTACCTATATTTATACCCACTCAATTATATACTTAATTAAGAAGTGGGTTATTCACGAACTTTCTGGAAAAGGAATGGGGAGTTCCCTGAACCATGTAAGGCAACTTCTGGGTTGTGGCCATGGCATTTCTAAAACATCACGTAGCTGGTGGGAGCATCTTATGCAAATGCAAATAAGCAGTGACAGTAACTAGAGGTCACTTTCATCACCATCTTGGTTCTAGCTGGCTTTGCTGGTTTCTTTGCTACATCCTCTCTTGATAAGCAGGGTCATAACTAAGGCTCAGAAAACAAGTTCTGCTGATCTCCTACCTCAAAAATGGATACAGACATAGAATGAGATAGACAGAAGACTGTCTCCAAGAAATAATATCACCTCTTTCGTCCAATATAGAAATAAACAAGAGACTTATTTAGATATGACAAGATGAAACATCCTAAAATCAATCTACAAAGTCAGAAATTCATGTAATAAGGTATTTGTTATGCCCTCATTATGTGCTACAAGATGGAAAAGCAGACTCCAATTAGATGCAGTCCCAGTCTGTTAAGACTTGCAATCAGAAGGAATAAATACATAAATCAATAATTCTAATACATTTGATCAATTAGAGTGTTCAATGTAGCACAATAGAGAAAGGAAAAAGTGGTCCATTGTGTTTATGGTATAAGAAAAGTTTTTAAAGACAAGGTGGAAACATGAATTCACTGAGAAGAATGAAACTAGAGGAATATTTTAGGCAGTAGAGATAATATGAACTAACTTATAGAAAAAAGAAAAAAATTATCATGCTCAAGAAACTGAAAGTTATTAGTTATGCTCACAGTAAAGCAGAAGGCATGGTGTTATTAGGGAAACAGGAACTTGGGAGGGCCAGGCTGACACCATTTAAAAATCAACTCCATTTTAAACTAGCAAGGCACATTTCTTGCTAATCATGACTCATGGTCCTAAGATGTTTACTGCTAAGAGAGTAGTTTAATAATGTCTGCAAGGACAAACCCCTATGACAACAAAATGTACCGATGATCTAATATTGCATAATAATTTATGTTTTTAAGATGATTATAGTCATACTTTGTTGTACTTACACACTAAAATGCCAAGAATAACTTTCTTTAAATCAACAAAGTACTAAATGTTATGTTGTCAACCCACCAGCATGTAGACATAATGTAAAGTAGCTTTTACATAGACAAGACCCCTAGATAAGAAGTGTTTAAAAAAAAAAAGATGGTGGGTGCTTCCTTTTGCTTTCTGAGGATGCCCTACTATGTATCTGAGTAGCTTTCAATAAACTAGCTCTTTTCACTGCACTCTGTGACTTGCCTTAGATTCCTTCCTGTGTGAAATCCAAGAATTCTCTCTTGGGATAGGGATCAGAACCCCTTTTTCTGACAACTTCTTCCTGGCAATACCACAAAGGGATTTTAAGATGAGGCCCTAGGCTGGGGAAATTCAGTTTGCAGCAGAAATTGGCCACCTCTGGTAAGTAGGATCTGGGTGAGCGCACTTTGTTGTCTCTTCCCTTCCCTTTCTTGTCCCTTTTTCTTGTTGCAATGCACTTAGCCTTCTGATCCCCAGGAGACACAAGGATACCATGTTCCTTTATATTCTGTGGAGACTAGGGATTAGAGCTCCCTGCCCAGAGTTGTTGGATCCTTTGGGCTGTGTCTGCTAGGGAGCCTGGCCTTGTAGGATCTCCCAGGTTGGCCACCACCTTGTTGCACAATATTTTTTGGCCTTTAGAGGTATCAGGTTACAATGTTGCTCTGATGGATAAACTGAGGCTCAGAGGGATATTTGCCAGAACGTACTGCTTCTTGATCCCCGTGTCTCTTTTTTTGGCTGCATATTTGCTGTCTGTGCCTCACTAGTGATGCGCATCACCCTGAAATTTATACCTATCATTTTCTTTCTGGTTTTGATGATTTTTATTCTTTGGATTGCTTAATTGGTATCTCTCTGGACAGCATTGGAGGCCAAAAGCCTTCCGGGATCTAGTTTCATGGAGTAAAAACATAATTTTATCTAATTCAGAAATTATCTAAGGTCAATTAAATTATGGACTCAAAAATGGTTATTTATGAGACAAGGTAGAAAGGAACCAATATGTAGGGGAGAGAGAGATATGAAGAAAATTATGAATATAAAGATGTATTTTTTGTAAGGAAAGTTATGAAGAAAAGAGAATAATTTTGTATGAAAAAGGGTCTTATATGGTAAACTGTTGTATTAAATTAAAACAACTGATAAGTTAAGAGAGACAAAATTTAGAACAACTCAGAAAGTCCAAGCATGTTGTAGGTAGCCCGTGTAAGTTATGATAAGGCTTGTGAAGGAGAATTTATAAAAGGAATTTGTATGTGATTAAGTTGATTATAATTAAAAGGAAATCATTTATAATAGCTTTTGTAAGATTGGTCTCCTACGTAAAACCAGATTTTTCAAGGTATTGATTTGCTCTCAACAAAATTACAAGAAATTTTACTTTTAATTTTAAAAGCTTTCTCTTTTAAAAACTTCTCAGAATCATATGTCAGAAGTTCAACTTTGTCTGTGTCTCACTGCTTTCAGCGTATTTTCCCCTTGAGAAGACCTAAAATGACAACTCTCTCTTTCAAGTTTTTCATCAGCCCCTGTAATGTTTTTTCCTCTGGTTCTAACTGTTGTTATGGCCTGATGCTGTAATATTTTATCTTGAAAGTCAAACAAAAAAGCAACGTTTTCCTCTAGCATAACTTGATTCTCTACTCTTGGCTTTTCTTGATATATCTAAATTTTCAATGTAATCAGAAAACTCATGCTGTTCTTAAGAGTCACATAATCCCCTGCTATACTCATAACCTTGAAAACACTCTTCCTGTGTCTGATTAAATCAAGCACTTTTTTCACCAAGTTTGACTTCCAGATTATATAAATGGGCTTTCCTTAAGGAGAAGCAGTCACAGTGCAAAATATTTTTTTGTTTTGCCATTTTGGTAACTGGCTTTAGAAACAAGATTTTATAATTATTATGCCGTCTTAATTAGGTTTTTAGTTGCCAAATTTTAAGATTTAAAAGAGTTAAGGATTTTACGTCTATTGCCTTTCAAAGTCATTTTGATTATCACTTCAATAAAATGAGTAAGTATTATTTCACAATGACCTGTGATTCTCTTTTAATCAAATGTTTGGGTCTTTTAACATCTTTAATAAATGTTCCCAAAATCAAAATCCTAAATTAAGTAAGTCTCTGACTTATTTTTTTATTGCTGGGACTTTTTAAAACTATAAAAAATACTCACTGCAATGTTGTAGAATCATTTTACAGCTTCCAGTCAGACCATGAACTCCAGTATTACCACTCCCAGCCTGATAATTACATATACTGAAAAAAATCAAAGGACTCCCTCCAGCCCCCTTGAAAATGTCTTTATCAGGTGCTATTAACAAATCCTTGTGCTGTTAAGCTACAGGGCTTCAACTCCTGAGTACGTATATCTCATCTAAAGAAGGCATTAACTCCTGTCAGTTTCTAACACCAAATTCAAGTTAAACAAACTTCATCTTCAGATTCAGGCAAAAGCGACAATCAAAATAAACAGCTTTCATGAGACACATGGTCAGGCTTGTATTCAAAAGCATTAAGATTCATTTAATAATGTTGCCTTTATCTGAAATAATATAATTTATGCTATGCCTTGATACTGAATAATTTAAATGTTTAACTCATTTCCTGTCATTCTTAAAACTAGGCAGGACTTATTAGCTTTTTATTTAAAATATTGTTAATTCCTCATTTTTAGCTCCAGAATTTGAAACTATTCAATCCCTCCAGAACTAGAGACTATCGCATTGTAAGGGCCAGTTTTGAGGGCTAAAATTAATTCAGACCCTCCAAATCAAGGATTGGCACACAAATACCTCAATAGCTGAACAAAATGCTGGTGTTTTGTATAGCTACTTGCTTTAAGCCAAGATTACAGTAGCTCAATACATAGAATTTATAGATAAGTTAATTTTACAACCTTGCATTTTGGCTTTTGGTTTTTGGTTCTTATGTCGCTTAAAAGAGATTTTAAATTAATTACTGCCTGCCCTCCTCTATTTGCATCTGGCCTAGAGCATTTAATTGGCTATAAGTCTTTTGACTCTAAGTCTCTTCACCATAGGGTTCCCACCAAGAGATATGGTGGACCTGGGGCAGGTAGCACACCACCCTCACATCACTATGGAACAAAATAAAAGCTTGGCAATGTATACTGCCTCTGGCATGTCTTAACTAAAAAGCAGAAATATAAACTAAAATAAATAAAAATAAACTAATTAACCTTAATCACTCCTCCTCCTACAGAATGTACCCACCTCTTGGACAAAGGGAATTAAAAAAAAAATTGAGAAACTAGTTGAGGCCATGACAGGAAGCAGGGTCTGATGGGGGGAGGATACACCTCCTATACCTTCCCCCCAACTTGAAAATAAGGCACAATTGATCAGCATTAACATTAAAACATAAATCATAAGACTTTCAGAACAGACTCCTTATGGCAATAAGATACCAAATTATAAACAGGATCTAAGACCATATCAGGCAAGGGTTGAGTCTCCACCCCAACATAAACAAAGTCATATTTCACATGCATGTTTGTTCAATATAGATGTATAAAAACCACCTTCATAAATATTGATAGTTCTCCTGTTCAACCAGGAGACTTAGTCTTATTAAAAACTTGAAAAGAAGGATCCCCTGTAGATCACAAAAATGGAAGGGCCCCTATCAGGTATTGTTAAGCACCCCTATTGCTGTTGAACTTCAGAGAATCACTAGCTGGGTACACCTATTCAAGATTAAACCTGTGTCTTATGAGTCCCAGCAGACTCCTGAGAAAGACAAGAAGACCTACACTTGTGAACCCTTAGAAGACCTAAGGCTGTTGTTTTGCAAATAAACAGATAAGTAACATCCCAAGTCTTTTTCACTGGTACTCAACATTCTTAATGACTCCCATCTATGGATGTCTGGTATTATGTAGTAAGGACTGGCATGAGGTGACATCTTTGCCTTGTTCCTGATCTTAGGGAAAAAAATCAACTAACTTCTCACTGTTAAGTATGATGTTAGCTGTTGGGCTTTTTAGGCATTTATTATCAAATTTAGTTTGTCTTCTATTCCTAGTTGTCTGAGAATTTTTATTGTGAACGGATGTTGGATGTTTTAAAATTATGTTTGCATCTATTGCTATGGTGATAATTTTTCTTATTTACCCTGTTAATATGATGGGTTATATTACTTAGATTTTTAATGCTAAATCAGTCTTGCATAACTATTATTAATACTACTTGGTCATTGCATATAATTTTTTACATACACTGATGGACTTGATCATATTTTGTTATCGATTTTTGCATCTATGTTTATAACATATATTGATTTCTTTTAATGTCTTTATCTTGGTTCGAGGATAACACTGAATTCATAGAATTACTTAGAAAATGTTCTTCTGCTTCTATTTTCTGGAAGAGAATATAGGGGATCGGAATATTTTTCTAATTAAATATTTGACATAATTTACCAAGGAAGCCATATAGAACTGGTACTTTATGTTTTTTTTAAATGTTATTTATTGGTGACTCAATTTCATTAGAAGACATAGGTCTAATCTATTTGTCTGTTTCTCTTTATGTGAGTTTTGAAGCTTGTGTATTTTTTTTAAATTATCTTTCTTCTAAGTTACCAAATTTGTGGATAGTGAGTAGGTTATAGTGTTCTTTTATTTATTGGCTATGATAGGAATAGTTATAACTACTCTTTAATTTTTGACATTAGTACACCTTGTGTTTTCTTTTTCTTTTATCCCTAGTTAGCTTGGCTAGAAGTTTGTCAATTTTATTGTTCTTTTCAAAGAACCAGCTTTAGGTTTCATTAAATTTTGTTTTTTCTGTTTTCATTACCATTTATTTCTCCTCTGATTTATACTATTTATTCTACTTTATTTATGCTTAAATTGTTCTTTTTAGTCTCCTAAAGTATAAGTTTAAACTATTCATTTTAAACATAACTTCTTTTCAAATATATGCAATTGATGATATAAATTTATAAGTTCTGCTTTCACTGCAAAACAAAAACATAGAGAATTTGTCACTAACATTTCTAACTGGATACTGTTGATGTGGGAGTAGAAGTGGGAAAAAAAATCTATAGTCTTCTGATAACATCTCAGTCTCTTAGTGGGTCTGACATCTTTGAGTTTGATTCTCACAGTATTTACAAGATTTTTTTCTGTCCCTCTCTCATACTTAAGACAGGAAAGATGGAGGAGGTTATACCCGGGTAATTGCCCTTCTGTCTGTGTAACACAGGGTTCTGGAAAAGTCTTTTTGACTAGACAGTAGGCATTTGTTACAGAGAATGTATTTAGTATATTTTGAAATGGTTTATTTTCCTTTCTCCATGCCAAAGACACAAAGTGTAATTTCTTGGTTTTTCACCTTTGAGAACCTGGTAGGATTCCTACAGGTAAAAGCCAAGATAGCTCATAGTCCTCTTCTTATGACTATGACCTAAGTAGTTTCTCACTCTCAACCTACTCTACCCTTAGCCTTTAGCAATGTGTTAAAATTGCTCTTTGAGTGTGTCTTCCAGTTTATAGTTCCAATGGCTTCTTATCTAGTTAAACTAACCTTGGTTATTTTTTCTCCGTATTTGCCTGCCTCTTCAGATTTCAGGATACTGTTTTGCCTTTTAACCTCAGTTTTCTAATGGTTCCAAAAACAGTTGTTAATATTTAACTTATTCAGCTTTTTTCCTTGTTGTAAGGATGGAAGTGATTACTTCCAAACTCGTTGCCTGTTGGAACTTAAACCAGAAGTTAACAGTAGATATTTTAATTCTGATGTACTCCAATTTGTAATGTTTTGGTTTTTATTGATTATACTTCTAGTGTTCTTCTTAACATATCTTTGCCTAAACCAAGGTCACAGAGATATTCTATGATTTTATAAGCACTATAATTTTATATTTAACATTTAGTGTTCTTTTTTAATCTAATTCTCTATAAAGTTATTAGGCTTCCTTAAAAGTTTAATCTGGAGATTACTCATGTTATTCCACTGAATTATATTAGTTAAAATAAGTCACAAGCCCTATCCAGCTTTATGGAGAAAGTGCTACACATGTGTTAGAATGTAGGAGGCTATGGTTCATCAGGCACCATTAATACAACAAACAACCAGAATCTGACCTCTTGTGCTGAATGATTTATATCCTTCACACATGCAAAATATGTTTATCTTTCCAGATGCCCAAAAGTCTCATCTCATGATTTATGCCATTATCCTGGAACTTGAGATGCAGGATATCATTATCTAACTCAGTTCCAGAGTGGATAAGAGTCCTCTGGATCAGCTTTTCTCAATCTGAACAGGGTGGAATGGGGTGAGCATGAGGGAGACAACCTGTGCCCAACACAGCCAACATACAAGAGTGAGAGAGGGAGAAGTTAACTTCAAAAGACATGGCCATCAGAAAAATAAACAAATGGGAGGCATTTCATAGTCAAAGTTTATAGACATTTAAAATCCAGCCAATCACAGGTCCTTGATTAACACTCAATTCTATTCCTTGTGAGTGGTTCTTCATGTATTTTTTTGGTAAGTCATCCAAGTTCTTAGTTTTTTCCTCTTAAGCTAGTCTTCATTTGCCATAAAAACTATTTTTGTTTGAAGATGAGGTTTCTATAAGTTTGTCCTGTCCATAGAAGATTTCAAGTCCAATGGCATCTTTTAACTTTGAAATGTATGAATCATTTTTAATCTAAGTGGTACAATTACTTAAAAAAAAAACGTTGTGGACTTCCTATGTACTTGATTATAATTAACTCCATTATGGATCAAAGAGAACATAGTCACAGATTTCTATGAAACAGGCTGCTCTCTACTTCAGTCTGTCAGTATTGGTGCTAGAAGCCAACACTCAGACTGTTCTTACAAACCTGTTATTACATATTCTTAAGATAAACCCTGCAAATCACATTTAGAGTTGACCATTACTTCTACAACACAGCTACTATTTGTTAATTAATAACAATTGTAATGTTCTTTTTTGTATTGTTTTACTGGCCTAACAAGAATAGTTTCTAGTTAAGGGCAAGAAAATAAATTGTTACTTAATAAGTAGAACTGAGACCTTTACTGTCTAAGTTTATAATAAAATAATCAAGTCATGCATTTAACCTCTAAAATGTCAGTTGAAACGAATGAAATCAAAACAAACTGTGAATCCTATAAATAAACACATTAATGGCTCATCTCAGAGTCAACAGGAACTTTAGAAATGAATGACAACACCTGATTATACATTACTAAAATGAAAGTCTTCTCTTGCTCTGTTGGGCAAAACAGTGCATAACTCCAATTTTCACAAATATTTTATTTAAAGGAGTCATACTGTGTTTACAATTATTTCATAATTTTCTAGCTCAATTGCATGCTGTGACTTAAATATAAGTGTGGACTAATGGAAAAAATAAAGGGGAGAAAAAAATTCTACCACATTATTACAAAACCCCAGAAATAAGCATAAATGAAACTTTACACTATATTTCATTATCAATTTTTCTTTTATTTTAATGTAAAAATAATGTTTCCCCTGAGTCTAAATGGATTGTCAAAACTGCATATATTGAAGACACCTTACTTAATCCTTTTTCAGACAATGATAATTTCAGTGTTTAGTTAAATTAATACCAAGAATATGAAAATATTTGTAAAAAGCCATTTTAGCATGTATCTATGAAATATAATCTAGCATATATTTTATTAATATGGATATTATACAAATAAATTAACATTATTTTTATTCTAATAGATGCTTTTATCTGAAAACAAAACCACAACATTCAGTATTCAATTTTAAATGTTTTTAAGAAAAAAAAAGAAGACATTTTATATGTTTATTTATGTTTATAGTAAAATAAGATTTTGGAATATATGTCATTTTTAAGAGAGAATACTACTAAGTAATAAAATACAAATGTCTTTTTTTATGGAGATTCAGCAAGTTTCAGGGGGTCACTACAGAGGGCTCTTTCAGAATTGCTGTTTGTAATGATAAATTTTAATAGCATCTACATATAGAAACTATTAAAGCAAAAGAGAAAAACAAGTCAACACTGGTTTAAAGAGAGCCATTATTAATGACTGCTTGACTAAGTTATGTGACTCCTGAATAATGGTAAGTTCACTTTACTCCATAAAATACGTAAGCTTTCTTATAAAATAAATAGGCTCTGATTTAATCATCTTTAATGTTTTCCATATGGCAGATACCACATTCTGAATATTCTTCTTACTGCTCTGGCTTGATAAGCCTATTTGGTTGTATCTATGAGGCCATACCAATACCACATTGCTAATAATTGGAGAAAACTTGTATTTAACATTCCTGAATAAAATATGTTCTATCACAGTTTATTCTCCGATTTTCTAATTAATGCTGAGAATGAACGGTTTTAGACCCTATTAGTCAATTCTTATTCTACACAAACCACTCCTCTATGAGGTCTCTCTGGGAAATAAATGTTCAAAATATAAAGTCATGTAGATTAATATAATTTTGGATTAAACTTTGACCCCTAGTTTTTATATATTCATTTGGGATAAACAGATAATCATATTTTCCATATTTTTCATTCCATATTCAAGATGACAGTCAGGCCAGAGAGTAGAGTTTTATCTGTGACTTAAGGAAGTGTTAATTTGAGCTCTCACTCTATGTCTTTCTAGATTTTATCTGGAATGGGAGGAAGATATCTGAAGACTGAATTAAAGATATAAAAGAGAAAAAAATAAAGAGAAGTTTGGCAAGCCCTGATTAGGAAGCAGTCATAATCTAGTAACAATCAATGACTTATTTTTCCAAAGTCATAAAACCAAATCAGAGATAATGGCTAGGAAATATCTACCCTTTAGCATGGTAGTCTATGAAAAATCTGAAAAAAGACCATTGAACTTAAGAATTATACTTACGGAACTTGTCAACCAACCTCGTACAAACATCTCTATCATAAATAATTTTATTAGACACTATTTCTGGACAATCAAAGGGCTAAAAAAGAGGATTGTTTAATATTTTTAAAAATTATTCATGAATGTTGTAATTCTCAAAAAGAATGACCATTTGCTCTATGCAAATTATTGGGATAGATGCTATGGTCTAAAAACAAGGCACTTATATTTTCAGATATTATAGGCTATATGGAATAATGCAATATGCATAAAAACAAATAATAGAATATGTATTATTTCATTTGATGCTCACAGCAATCCTAAAATAGTAAGCTATTATTTTCAAATTTTACAAAATAGAAAACTGAGGTTAGTAGGTGTTAAGTAATATATCCAAAAATCACATAAGTGATCAAAACTAAAACTTTGTAATAACAGATTTCAAGGTCTTATCTATCACATAAGCTAATTTTCTACACGAATGTAATGAAAAGAAAGAGTTTCCAGTGGAAATGCTCTTGAATTATTTAACTCAAACAAAAATTGTGCTTATTCAAAATGAAAATAAAAATTATAGCTTTCACTTTCTACAAATTAGGAAAAGATACATTTAAGAAGAAATAATTAATGCGATTGAAATAGCCTAATATATGGATATCTGGATAATTTTAAAAACACAGTTAATACTTCTTATTTCATTACAATATATCTTCGAAAATGGAGTTTTTATATTTTTCTCCAACAAAAACAAAATACAAAAACAAACCACGTTTCACCAAACTAGCAGCTTGTACTTATTGACATTAATATGAAATTGATATGTAACTTTAAAATTACATTTTTAAGCCCATGTGACATTTCTATTATATTTTATTTAAATCTATAAAATAAAATACCCTTTAATCAGTTTGACAAGTTATGAGTATTTAATTTTTATTATAGATGGCATACAATAAATACAAATATTTATTTTTAATTACCTGCTGTTGAGAAGGTTTTATTAGATAAAGTAAGATGTGTAAGGAAATAGGTGTATTATCTCTTGAACAATTCCAAAAGCTGCC
The DNA here is from genome assembly GCF_000001405.40 of Homo sapiens. Classification (NCBI taxonomy): domain Eukaryota; kingdom Metazoa; phylum Chordata; class Mammalia; order Primates; family Hominidae; genus Homo; species Homo sapiens. The sequence continues at coordinate 103,289,340 of NC_000006.12, forward strand.
ATTTATTATATTCCTCTTCACTGCAAGATCACTATAGAGATAAATAGCAATAGGACATATTTATTGACAATGAAAAATGACACAGAGTCACAGATTTACTTACAATAAAGATACAGAAAAAATCAGGGCAGTGTATACATTAGTTATCAGCAATATTTTTGTGACAGATGAAGTACAAACTTATGTTTTTAGTATTCAGAGGTCAAGAGGGTTGAACAACCATCCTGAAGCATAGGCATATGGGACTTATTGAATTCTGAGTGCAGAGAGGAAAACTGAGAAAAATCCACAAGCACTCTGGGTCATACACTGAGAATCAGGCAGGAAGTGTCTGCTATTGGGGAAGACATATGAGAGTTGAAAGAGAGCTCTTGATAGACTCACGTGCATTGTTAGCAGAGGACATTACTAAGGAAAACCCCACAGGCACTTATATTGCAACAAGTTCCTGGTAGTAAACCCTTCTACCACTGGAAAAGTAGAGGAGACCCAAGAGACATCCTCATGGTCTAGTGATGCCTGATGCATGGTAGAGAGAAATGAGTCAAAACCTCTAGACCCTCAGATCTTAATCACTGCTAAAGAAAATGTGTAACCTTGCCATCATATAATTTGAAACCTGTGGTGAATTGAATGTAGATAAAGCACAATACCAATAACCAATCCACCACAGACTTGTTTGACTCAACTGCCCACACTGAAGGCTTGGGAGAAAAAGAAGCATGTCCTTTTCCACACTTAAATATTATTTACACTAGATTTTGAACATCATGGTTAACATTCATCAAAAATTACCAGATATGTGAAAAACACAAGGAAGTAAAACGTATTGTCAAGAAGGGAAATAGTCAATAAAACCAGATGAAAAGATTGCCCAGATGTTGTCAGAAAGGGATTATAAAATAAATGTGATAAATACAGTATCTATATTGTCTTTAGTTACAGTAAACATGTTAAAGGATCTATTGGAAAAGGTGAACAACACGTGAACAAGTGAGGAAGAGCAGCGAATATATAGGACAAAATGTGAATTCTAGAAAATATATAGAGGCAAAAAATTATTCCGTGGACTTAACAAAAGACTATACACAGCATGGTAATACTCATTGATCTTGAAACCAGACCAACGTAACATAAAACCAGAAATAAAAATGGTTAAGTGTAGAAAAGAATATAAAACAGCATTCTGTGATCAGTGAGATAATGTAAAATGCTTTTCCAAATGCGAAATGGGAGTTTAACAAGTTAAAAAAAAGTCACAAGAAAGACAAAAAGTTAGAAAAGACAAAAGAAAAGAAAAAAGTGCAAAGAAAAGTACGTAAAGAGAATGACTAAGATTTTCCAATATCAATGAAAAACATAAACCCATAAATCCATGAAGCTCAAGATATTTCAAAAAGAGTAAACACAAAAAAAACTCACTTTGTAATATTAAAATGAAAGGCTGCAAAACAAAAAAAGTCAAAAAAGAAGTCACATAACATGTAAGTTATAATAATATAATATATGGTTGATTTCTTATAAGAAACAATGAAGACCAGAAAGCAATCAAATGAAATATGTAACATATGAAAATAAGGAAGTTACAAATTCAAAATTATATGTTCAGTAAAAAAAAAACCTTCAAAAATGAAAGAAAAATAAAGATGATTTTAGAAAGATAGTGTGTTTATTTCCAGAAGTTACGCAGTATCAAAAAAAGTTGTTTGCAAGAATATTGATGCCAGATAAAAGACTGTTTCCACAGGAAGGATTAGAAAACTTCAGAAAGAGTGTGTTTTAAATATAAAACTCTTTTCTAAGAATTTATAATAAAAACCATTTAAAGACCTTTAATTGTTTACATTTAAAATAATAAAAATGAAATATGGGTTTGTATTATATATAGAAGTAGAATATATGACAAGGGTGAGATTGTTGAAAATGGAATTGGAAATGTACTGTTACAAAGTTTATATTGTTACAATGACATTATTCATAGAGCTCTATACGCACACAAACAGACACACACACACACACACACGCACAAAGAATGTAAGTCCATAAGGCTTACAGCAGGTTTTAGGGCAGGCTAGAAAGATAGCAAAAAATAAAAACATTTTAAAAAAAGCATTGAAAGTAAATAGAGTAGAAATAATAAAATACTTTTAAAACAGCAATTTCACAAAAAAGGCAGGAAAAGATCAAATAAAACAATGGAAAGAATAAAAAATAATAATCTTAAAGCCTAATATATCAATAATTGCATTAAACATAAATTAAATATAAAACAGTTAAGTATCTAAATAAAAGCTTGCCAGATTTGATTGAAAGAATAGACTCCATGAATGCCTATGTTCATTGCAGCACTATTCATGATAGCAAAGACATGGAATCAACCTAAATGCCCGTTAGTGATAGACTGGATAAATAAAATGTGGTACTTATACACCATGCAATACTGTGCGGCCATAAAAAAAAGAATGAGATTGTGTTCTTTTCAGGGACGTCAATGGAACTGGAAGTCATTATCCTTAGCAATCTAACGCAGGAACAGAAAACCAAATATCGCATGTTCTCACTTATAAGTGGGAGCTAAGTGATGAGAACTCATGGATACATAGAGGGGAAAAACACATACTGGGGCCTATAGGAGGTCAGAAGGTGGGAGGAGGTGGAGGATCGGGAAAAATAACTAATGGATACTAGGCTTACTACCTGGGTGTTGAAATAATCTGTACAACAAACCCCCATAACACAAGTTTACCTATGTAACAAACCTGCACATTCCGCATATGTACCCCTGATCTTAAAATAAAAGTTAAAATAATAATAATAATAATAATAATAATAATAATAATAATAGAATAAAGACTCAGCTGCTTTTTTGTTGTTGTTAGGGTCTCTTTTTACTACTCAGGCTGGAGTGCAGTGGTGCAATCTTGGCTCACTGCAACCTCCACCTCCCGAGTTCAAGCAATTCTCCCACCTCAGTCTCCCAAGTAACTGGAACTACAGGCCCATGCCACCACACCCAGCTAATTTTTGTACTTTTTGTAGAGATGGGGTTTCACCACGTTGTCCAGGCTAGTCAACTGCTTTTTAAATTAAAAAAAAAAAATCTAAGAACAAATGTTTGGATGTTTTTTCTGACCAAAATGAAGTAACAAAGACTAGATTTATATTCTTGCCACTGACAACATAAACAAGAAAATAGGCAAAAATATACAACGATGGATTTCGAGACACTGAATATCAGTCAACAAAGGATAGTGCTCCTCAAATAGAACAAACAAATGTAGTGACACTTACAATTGCCTCCAGCCACTGCCTTGAAATAGTTCCCAGGCACGTGGAAGAGGGACCCAGGGGAATCTGGCATTCTCTGAATTGATGAGATGGATTTGAGCTCAGAGAGATCACATCAGCTACTGTTTGTAGACCGAAATAGCAGAGAAGAGAAACCTGCACAGTAGCAGAATTATGGAGATCTACAGAAAATCCCCATCAACTGTTTACCAGGGTTGCAATTTCTTTATGAATGGCGGGAAACTACTGAACACTAGAGAAAAAGACTTAGCTAAATGAATTAGAGGTAAAAGTGCTTGGCATTCACAAACTGTAAAAACCTCGTAATTCATATGGCACTGGGTGGAATATTCACACAGGTCTTGCCTCAATTGTGGGAGATAATTAACCTTAGACTAAAAACGATTCTGGCTTCACTTAGCAATCTTAAAAGCAAAGCTCAAAAGAATTAAACTGTCTCCAAGTAATTTAACATCATCCTGGCATGGCAGAGGGGAGGCTCATGAATATTTATAGTAATATAAAAATATAGATCACTCAATAGGGTAAAATTCCTAATATATGGCTTCCAATGAAAAGAAGTAGGAGAATATAATAAAAAATGAGGACAGAAATCACTCACACTGATACAGAACTGAAACAGATGTTAGAATTAACAGAGGCATTAAAATAGTTATTAAACTGGATTCCAGATGTTCAAAAGTTAAGTAAAATCATGGAAATTATTTAAAATATTCAAATAAAACTTTAAGTGGAAATGAAATGTCTGAGATGAAAAATATAAGGTGGATATGATTAATGGTAAATTAGTCATTATACTAATAGAAAAAGATAAGTGAATTTGAAAACATATAGCCACAGAAACTATTCATAATAGAATGCATGAATAAATAGTAATTTAAAAAAATGGAACAACTTGAAGTGTAACCAAAGTCCTCAAAAGAAGGCAACAAACAATTTGCAGAAATAAATGTAAAATCTGATAAAAACTACAAATCTACAGATCCAATTGTGTCTGGAATTGGGTTCTTGGTCTCACTGACCTCATGAATGAAGCCGCGGACCCTCGCCATGAGTATTACAGCTCTTAAGGTGGCGCGTCTGGAGTTTGTTCCTTCTGATGTTCGGCTGTGTTCGGAGTTTCTTCCTTCTGGTGGGTTCGTGGTCTCGCTGGCTCAGGAGTGAAGCTGCAGACCTTCGCGGTGAGTGTTACAGCTCATAAAAGCAGTGTGGACCCAAAGAGTGAGCAGTAGCAAGATTTACTGCAAACAGCAGAAGAACAAAGCTACCACAGTGTGGAAGGGGACCCCAGCGAATTGCCACGGCTGGCTCGGGCAGCCTGCTTTTATTCTCTTATCTGGCCCCCCCCCCCCTACATCCTGCTGATTGGTAGAGCCCAGTGGTCTGTTTTGACAGGGCGCTGATTGGTGCGTTTACAATCCCTGAGCTAGACACAAAGGTTCTCCACGTCCCCACCAGATTAGCTAGATACAGAGTGTCCACACAAAGGTTCTCCAAGGCCCCACCAGAGTAGCTAGATACAGAGTGTCAATTGGTGCATTCACAAACCCTGAGCTAGACACAGGGTGCTGATTGGTGTGTTTACAAATCTTGAGCTAGAGACAGAGTGCCGATTGGTGTATTTACAATCCCTGAGCTAGACATAAAGGTTCTCCACGTCCCCACCAGACTCGGGAGCCCAGCTGGCTTCACCCAGTGGATCCCGCACCGGGGCTGCAGGTGGAGCTGCCTGCCAGTCCCGCGCAGTGCGCCTGCACTCCTCAGCCCTTGGGCGGTCGATGGGACTGGGCACCGTGGAGCAGGGGGTGGCGCTCATCTGGGAGGCTCGGGCCGCATAGGAGCCCACGGAGTGGGTGGGAGGCTCAGGCATGGTGGGCTGCAGGTCCTGAGCCCTGCCCCGCGGGAAGACAGCTAAGGCCCGGCGAGAAATCGAGCGCAGCGCCGGTGGGCTGGCACTGCTGGGGGACCCAGTACACTCTCCGCAGCCGCTGGCCTGGGTGCTAAGCCCCTCATTGCCCGGGGCCGGCAGGGCCGGCCCGCTGCTCGAGTGCGGGGCCCGCCAAGCCCACGCCCACCCGGAACTCCAGCTGGCCCGCAAGCGCCCTGCGCAGCCCCGGTTCCCGCTCGCGCCTCTCTCTCCACACCTCCCTGCAAGCTGAGGGAGCCGGCTCTGGCCTTGGCCAGCCCAGAAAGGGGCTCCCACAGTGCAGTGGTGGGCTGAAGGGCTCCTGAAGTGCCGCCAAAGTGGGAGCCCAGGCAGAGGAGGCGCCCAGAGCGAACGAGGGCTGTGAGGACTGCCAGCACGCTGTCACCTCTCACAATTATCCGAAAAATAAAACAAACACAAGCACAGAACCGTGGCGAACACTACGCCAACCTATACCATATCAAATTACTCAAACAGTAGTAAAGAGATATCTTAAAGACAGCCAGAGGAAAACAGACACATTATGTGCAGAGGAACAAAAATAAGAGCATTAGCAAGCTTCTAGTTAGAAAGAATGTAAGCAAGATGACAGCAAACAAGAAGACATTTACCAACCACTGAAAGAACAACAACAATCAACCTAGAATTCTATATGTAGCACAAATGCCTCTTAGAAAATGAAAGTAAAATAAGGAATTTCAGATGTATACAAGAAGAAAAAAATAAATCACCAGTATATCCACAACACAAGAAGTGTGAAAATAAGTGCTTGCGGGTGAAGGAAAATAACATCAGATGAAAGTGTAAATCTATAGCAAAAAATATCAGATAAGGTATTTACATGGTAAATATAGCATAATTTTGTTATTTCAAGTTCTATTAAAGATATTTAAAATTTTGAGCAAAAAGCCCAATGCATTATGTGTTTATTTTTAAAGTATTATTGAAATATAAATCAAGAATACCATAAAGACCAGGTGGAAAAAAAATGGAAGTATATTATTACCAGTTTCAAACACTATATGTGAAGTGGGATAATATCAGATAGACAGTGACACATTAATGTATATAATAGGAAGCCTAAAGCAGCCATTAAAATAACTAAACAAAGAATTATAGAGGATAAACCAACAAAAGATATAAAATTAAATCATTAAAAAGTAGGCAGAAAAAAATTTAAAGCCAGAAAAAGAAAATGGGGAAAAATAAATGGAACAAATAGAAAACAATATTGTTTTTGTGATTAAAAAACACTAAGATCTACCCTTTCAGCAAAGTTGAAGTATATAAAAGAGTATTGTTAACTATAGACACTATGCCATATAGTAGATCTCTAGAACTTAGTGATCTTGCATAACTGAAATTTTGTACACTTTGACGATTACCAACCCATTTCTCCCTTCCGTATGTCCCTGGTAACTATCCTTCTACTTTCTACATCATTATTTTGACCTATTTCAGATTCTTTGTATAAATGGGATCATATAATATTACTGAATATGCATTCCTTCTTGGTCTGGCTTATTTCACTTATCATAATGTCCTCCAGATTTATCCATGTTGTCACAAAGGCAGAATTTCCTTTTTTAAAATGCTAAATAATAATCCACTGTGTGTATATACTGCATTTTCTTTATCCGTTAATCCTTAGAAAGACATTAAGTTTACTTCCATATCTTGGCTATTGTGAATAAACTTTGCAGTTCCTCATAATTCACAAAATAGCAGCATATCGATCTCCACATTTGAATTTAATTTCTTGGAAAAACAAAGAATAATTACAAAAAAATGAAAAGATGATAATGAACAAATTTACTAATTAAATAATATTTTGGGGGAATATGGTAGACAATATAAAGATCAAAATTTTCTCAGAGTCTGTAAAATGTGTGTGTGCACGTGAGAGAGAGAGAGAGAATGAGAGAGAGTTGAAGAAGCTTCAGGAGTGTCCTTGAGAAACTTCTGAATTTTAGTTTATGTCTTTAAAATATACATTTACCAAAAAAATGTGGTTCTTTCATAATGGAAATTTTTTGGAGTAGAGACTTGTTGGCACTTGACTCAATTTCTTCTTGTTTGAGATTCTTTAAACTATACAACAATAAATAAACTCCCATATGGTATCATAATTCCATTTTATTAATACCAATTTATTGATTTCCTACTATATCAGTTAAGGAGCCAGTCAAGAGTCAGAAACTATATAAGTTATTTTGGCAGGGATAATTTAATATAAAGAATTTTATTAGGCTCTTCTTGCATGACTATTAAGAAATACCTGAGACTGGATAAGTTATAAAGAAAGAGGTTTAATTGAGTCATCGTTCTACAGGCTCCACAGGAAGCATGACACTGTCATCTGCTCAGCTTCTGGTGAGGCCTTGGCTGTTTACAGTCATGACAGAAGGCAACGGTGGCACCAGTGTGTCACATGGCAAGAGCAGGAGGAAGAGTGGGCAGGGGAGGTGCCACATGATTTCAAACAACCAGACATCGCCGGAACTCACTCCTTTCGTGAAGACAGCATCAAGCCATGAGGGATCTGCCCCATGACCCAAACACCTCTCATCAGGCCGCATTTCCAACATTGAGGATTACATTTCAACATGAGATTTGGGGCGACAAATATCCAAACTATTTCAAGAATTATCAACTAAAAAGGCGAAAAGAGAACAGTAATGTATCAATCACAGAGGCAACTCCTGAGGGAAGCAGCTACCTAGGCTAGACATAGAAAAACAAAAGGCAGAGCGATCCCGCAGAGCTCAAACTCAAACCCCTGAGAAAGAAGTGTAGCTAGTTTCAGTACCAGAAAAATACAGACTGAAATCAATTGTTATTACTGGAACTAACTGCCTTTGCTGGTGTGGAGTAGCAATCTTGGCCTGATCATGACAAAAATAGTAGATTAGCAAATTATAAGTACACAAACGAGTATTGTTAACTATAGACTCTATGCTATATAGTGCATTTCCAGAACTTAGTCATCCTGCATAACTAAAATTTTGTACCCTTTGACCATTACCATCCCCTTTCTCCCTTCCATCTATTCCTGGTAACCATCGTTCCACTTTCTGCACCTATTAGTTTGACTATTTCAGATTTCTTGTATAGAGCGGATCATATAATATTTCTGAATATGTATTCCTACCGGGTCCGGCTTATTTCACTTATAATGTCCTCCAAGTTCATCCATGTTGTCACAAAGGCAGAATTTCCTTCCTAAATTACCTTATTGCTGCTATAACAAATTATTATAAATTTATTTGCTTAATACAACACAAATAAACTATATTGTACCTCTGGAAGTGAAAAATCTGAGATGAATCTTACAGTCTAAAATGAAGATGTTGTTTTTGCTGCATTTATCCTGGAAGCTCTATGGGAGAACCCATTTATTTTCCTTTTCCAGCTTCTGCGGGCCACCTGCATTTCATGGATTGTGCTCCTTCCTCCATCTTCAAAGCTCAACACTCCAACCTCTGCTTGCATTGCCTTATCTCCTTTCTCCCTTGTCTTCCACTGCCACATTTCCTTCTCTGACTCTGACCTTCCTGCCTCTCCCTTTTAAGGACACTTGTGATACTTCAGGATAATACACCCATCTCAAGATCTTTCATGTAGTGACACCTGCGAAGTCCCTTTCCACATGTAAGGCAGCATATTCACAGGCTTCAGGAATTAGGACATGGACATCCTTTAGGAAGGTAAGTATTATTCTGTCTATCACAAATACAAAGCGGACAAAAGGACTAGCCATAGAGAGGAATGGAAAGCCAAACAGGAAACATCTAAAAACAAGTAAGTATTTTCTTCCTCCTCTAGCCTTCCATTCTCACTCTAGGAAACCCTATTGGTAGAGTTGGAATCATTTGTCAAAGAATTTTTTTGATTGATTCCCAGTCATAAGCTCATTATTAAGCAGAGAATGGACACATGATGAGAAACAATAGCTTAATAAATAGCACTGTGATGTGAATGTTCACGTCCCCCCAAAGTTCATAGGTTGAAACTGAATACTCAATGTGATTGTATTAAGAGGCGGGACCTTTGGGAGGCGATTAGGTCATGAGGGTGGAGCACTCCTGAATGGGAATAGTGCTTTTACAAGGGGCTGAAGAAATCAGAGTTCTTACTTTCCACCCTGTAAGGACACAGAAAAAAGGCACTGTCCATAAGGAAGTAGGCTGTCACCAGGCAAGAATCTGCAGGCACCTTGATCTTGGAATTCTTAGCCTCCAAAATTGTGAAAAATAAACATTTGTTGTTTATAAGCCACCCACCCAGTTTATGGTATTTTGTTAAAGCAACCCAAACTAAGGCAGGTAATGTAACTTAGCATTACTAAGAACTAAGGATACACACACACACACACACACACACACACAGCCTTCAAAAGATATAAATTTTATCAGAGAAACTAGAAAAGTACAAAAACAATTGCAGTAACAGATACATTAGATAAATAATACAATAAGGCATATAAAAATGGGAGGAGGGAACAGATAAATTGATCCAAATCAATGGGAAGAAATTGTACTGTGGAAGAAGAAATAATGCCTTTTCTCTGGTCTTTGGTAGAAAATAGGAACATTTTAAAATTATTATTATTTTTAAAATTTTTGTTGTGTGTAATTTGAATATCTTTCCAAATTTTGTTATTTTGAGTTATATTACCAATAATAAATGTTTTCTTTTCAAAACAATTGGTAATATGCAATAAGCTTGATACTTAATGTAAATTTATGGGATAAAGTTGAATCTATAAAATTGGCATTAAATATTTTAAAGATAAAATTTAGAAAGTCAATTACTAAAGTTGATAATTCCCTGGAGATATAAGTATGAGAAAACAGATATTTTTATTATATCGAGCTGTGACATTACTCATATAAACAAGCATGACAAATATCAATAGCTGATGAAAATAACTAGGATTTTTCATGTTTAAAATCTTACATGTTTTTAACTTTCACGTGTACATTATTTTCATGTATTCATATAGCTTATGTGTGAGTAATATGGATGTTTTCAAAAGTCTACATTTTAATAATACATAGCAATTAAAATAAAGTAAAATTATATAAAATCAAATTTCTTTTTATGTCTACGTAATTCAAGGGTTAAAAACAATAATATTATTTGCTGTGAGTCTGTCTTTTAATATGCATGCTATCTGAATGATATATTCCTAAATGCTTATTGTATACATTTCAAACAAAATAAACAATATATGTGATAATAGTTTTTACTTTTATTTCCCTAAAGTTAAATACCTGCAACTCACATTCAAAATAATCACTTAAATATGAGATTTTAGTCATTTTTCTGATTGGTTGAGATATATATATATATGTGTGTGTATGTGTGTGTATGTGTATATATATATGTATATATATTTGTATTTGTCTTTGTATTTATTTATTTTTTTGAGGCAGAGTCTCGCTCTGTCGCCCAGGCTGGAGTGCAGTGCTGTGATCTTGGTTCACTGCAAGCTCCGCCTCCCGGGTTCATGCCATTCTCCTGCCTCAGCCTTCCCAGTAGCTGGGACTACAGGCGCCCGCCACCACGCCCAGCTAATTTTTTGTATTTTTAGTAGAGACGGGGTTTCACCATGTTAGCCAGGATGGTCTCCATCTCCTGACCTGGTGTTCCGCCTGCCTCGGCCTCCCAAAGTGTTGGGATTACAGGCGTGAGCCACCACACCTCGCCTGGTTGATTTATTTTTAAATTTTTAAAATATGAAATATATCACAGAAGCACAAACATGCACAAAACACAAGTGTATATCCCCATTATCCCCTAATGCCTCCCCATTTTAAGCTTCCTTCCACTGTGCTGAAGTTAACATTGAAATTTTTGTATATCAGTTTGAAACATGCCTAAAAATAGCTTTATTATGTAAGCTTGTATCTCAAAATCTGTTGTTTAGTTTGGCCTGTTTTTTAAAAATGTTTAACTTACATACAAGTTATCCTTAAGTGTCTTTACTCTTCTTAAGGCTGTGTTCGTTTCACTGAGCATTATGTATATGAGTTATCTTGGTTGTTGTATCTATAATCCATTCATTTTTTCTGATGTAATGCATTTCATTGTATGAATATGCCATAATTACTTATGTATTCTGTAGTTGTTAAACAGTTGCAATTTTTCTGGTTTAAGAAAAATGCTACAATAAATAATTTTTTATTTTTACAAATATCATGGTCCATACTTGCAATAATTTTTTTGCTGGGTTTATGTATGACATGGATGCCAATATTCAAATGTAATCAATAATGCCAAACTTATCCAAACTTGTCGTGTCAATTTCTACTCCCACAAATATTGATCAGAGTTTCAATTATTCCACCTTATCAATACTTTATATTATCAAATTTGTGTAGGTTTTTTTAAAAATGATGGGCATTTGAGTGGTTCTGTTGTTTTGCTTTACATTCTCCTTCTTACTAAAAAGTTTCCTACCAGCTCATATTTTTAATAATCACTGATATATCCTCTTTGGTTAACTGTCGGTTTAAGTCTACTACTAATTTGTCTTTGAGTTTTGTGACATTTTATAATTACTTTGTGGGAGTTGCTGATATTTTGCCACTCTGTAGGTTGCGTTTTTAGTTTCAATGTTTTTTTGTTTTTTTCATAAATAGAACATCTAGGATTTTTTGTACCGCTTATAAGCAAAATAACAAATATTTTCAGATTGGATTATTGCATTTTTTATACTATTTGAAATTATTTCTCAGCTCCAAGTTTATGTTGATAATCATCTATCTCATCTCCAAAGATATTTATTTACCTTTAAATCTGCAATCAACCTGGAAGTGCTACCGTTTTAATGGTGTGATTTAGGGGCTGTATCCAACTGCCCTTGTATTAATACTAAACGAATCTGCATCATTTATTAAGAAAAACTATTTATTGAAAAGATTGTCATTTACTCAAAAGACCTCGGTTCCATAAGACCAACCTTGTTATAAATCAAGAGGATCTATTCTGTGGTCTCTACTATATTTCATTGGTTTATTTATTGAGTCTTTCACAATTCCAAACTATCTTAATTACTGTGAATTGTAAGTCTTGATGTCATATAGAGGATAACCTCTCACCTTTGTCTTGCTCTAAATTATCTTTCAGGTCTTGGCTCTTTGCTTTTTTGTATAAATTTTTGAATGAATTTGTCAATTTCTCCTCAAAAAAACACTTTAATCTTTTATTGGATGTGAAATTGACCGTAGATTGTAGATAAATAAGAGCAAAACATTACTTTTACATTATTTTTACATTTTCCGAATATTCCAAACCATGAATATGTTATGTACTTCTATTCATTAGATATTTTCATTTATTTCAATAATGATTTATAGATGTCTACAAAATAGGTCTTGCACATCTTTGTTAAATTTATTTCTATCATTTGATATTTTGAAGTTAACTTTACATCTTTTAACATTTCATTTATAAATTTCTTATAGTTATCTAAAAATTTTGTATCATACATATACACACGTGCCTGATATTTTGTATATAGACCTAATTTCTTCCCTGCTGTACTAGAATAAGGATGAGAAGAAAAGACAGAAAACTGCCATTATTGACAATATGAGAGTGTAGACAGTAGAAAAGAGAAAAAAGTGACCTTTGAACTAAATTACTAGATTAGAGATGTTATTAGCTAACATCACTGGTTTGAGATCTTTAACAGCTACATTTCAACATTTAAGTATTAAAGATGATATTTCCATAAGGATTTTTGTTGATATTTATATCAAATAGACTTATTCAGAGAAGAAATGTTCTTATCTTAGTTTTCTACAAAACATTTAATGCTAATGAATGTTTAATTTTACCCAAATATTATTCTACTTTTAGTGAAATAGCTATGACTATTTTCTTCTTTGTTTGAAAAGATGAATTTCATTATTTTTAAAATAGTAAATATTTCCTATTTCTATTCTTTTGTTTTACAAATGAGATGTAATAATGTATATACCACAGTGTTTATCAGTAGCCTATTACAGAAAAAAAAAAAAGGAAAAGTAGAGCTGGCATAAAGTGAAAAGTATAGCACAAATACAGAAATTATACCTTGAAAATCTAAAATTTCATTACTCATTTATACGAAAATTTAATTTCTTATATTTTTAATTTATAAATCTTAATGTTTGTGAAGTGTACTGAACATTAGTTTCCTAAACTACAGATAATGGAGAAAAAATACATCTGCTCTGGGTTTTAGTATATGAAAATTTTCACAATATTATTTTAACAAACTGCTTTTATTGCAAAGAAAATTTTGTTGGATTTCATCTCTCTGGAAGAGAGCATGGGATATCTACTGTGTAGCCAAAATATTATATTACCATTAAAGAACAAGATAGATTTATACATAATAGGCTCATTAAAATATCCCAATTATTGGCATTATTTTGTTTTTACATATTTATTTCACAAACCAGGCATAAAATGAATGAGAATTTTGAAATAAAATAGAGTTCAGCCTCATAAAATATGACTGTGTCTGAGGGTTCTATCAAATCTCTCAAGGGAAAAATCAAATCTGATAAAAGTCAGTATCCAATAATTTAATGTTGCAGTCCAAACATTTTATTGGAACATGATATTGTTAGCCTGCAAGCTGTTTTGCTGACATTTGATTACATTTTTAAATGGCTGTGAAACTAAATATGACAGGATTTAGTTTCCAGTTTGTTTTCTACACCCAAGGTCATTTAAGCTTTGTGGTATACCAGAAAGAATGTTTATGTAATACTAGCATGTATTACTAAATAAAATCTTATAGTGTAGCTTATTATTTATCTTATTAAATGTCATGTCATTTATTTTGTTTAAATATCATATTACAACCTAAAATATACACTGGCTGTAGTTTGTGTTTTGGAGATTAATATATTCAAATATAAAAAAGCTATAGCTTGATATATAAAAACATTAAGGAAATACATATGCATATATATTGTCAGACAAATTGAGGTTATAAATATTTGTCTAAGTGGGACTTAATTAAACTGAAGAGCTTCTGCATAGCAAAAGAAATAACCAATAGAGTAAACAGACAACCTCCAGAATGGGAGAAGATATATGTGAACTGCATCCAACAAAGGCCTAATATCTAGAATCCATAGAGAACTTAAAAAATCAAGAAGCAAGAAAAAAATAACCCCATTAAAAATGGTTGAAAAACATGAACAGATATTTCTCTAAAAAAGACATACAAGCAGACAAGAAACATGAAAAAATGCCTAGTATCACTAGTCATCAGAGAAATGCAAATCAAAACCACAATAAGACACCATCTCAAGCCAATGAGAATGGCTGTTACTAAAATGTCAAAAAACAACAGATGCTGGTGAGGCTGCAGAGAAAAGAGAATGCTTATGTATTGTTGGTGAGAATGAAAAATTAGTCCTGCCACTGTGGAAAGCAGTTTGGAGATTCTCAAAGTACTGAAAACCGAGCTATCATTCAATCCAGGAATCCCATTATTTGGTATATACCCAAATGAAAATAAAGCATTCTGCCAAAAAGACACATGTTCTTGTATACTTATGGCAGGACAATTCACAGTAGCACAGGTATGGAATCAATCCAAGTGCCTATCAATGGTAGAGTGGATAAGAAAAATGTGGTATATATATACACTATGGAATACTATGCAGCCACAAAGAAGAATTAAATCATGTCCTTTTGCAGCAACTTGTATGCAGGTGGAGACCATAATCCCAAGCCAATTAACACAGAAACAAAACCAAATACCACATAGTCTCACTCATAAGTGGGAGCTAAATTTTGAGCACACATGGACATAAACATGGGAACAACAGATACTGGGGTCTAGTCAAGAGGGTAGGGAGGAGGTGTGGATTGAAAAACTACCCTTCAGGCTCTATGCTCAGTACCTGGGTGATAGGATCCACATACCAGACCCCAGCATCATACAATATTCCCATGTAAAAAAGCCTGCACATGTAGTCCCTATATCTAAAATAAAGTTTAAAATCAAGTAAATAAATATTTGCCTATGCATATATAGGTATAACTGTATATTCATATGAAATGGATCTACATCTTTTAATATTTAATTTAAAAAAATCGACAGCATAAAATTTTCCTAGAAGATATATGGTAATTATTAATTCAAAATGTATCCATATGTGTCTATTTCTATTAACCTTTTGATTTGCACTGAAATGACTATGTATTTTAGTAATATGAGGCAAACAGTAATATTTCCCAACAAAAAATATGATACAAAAAAAGCTAAATTAAAACTTCTAAAAAGAAAATGTGGGAATTCAAAAACATATATTAATGTTCTCAAATGTAAGAACATATGAATGTTCTTACTTTAATAGAACATTTATCCTGAACTTTATGATCATGAAATTATCCAGGTATGCTGGTATATTCAATTTTATTTTTAATTTCTCACATATACATTTGCTGTAAGAATTTATGTTGCTGTCATCATTAGCTTTCTTTCTTCTTTTTTTCTTTAGAGACAGCATATTTCTGTTGCTCAGCCTGGAGTGCAGTGGTGCAATCATGGCTTACTGTAACCTCAAACTCCTGGGCTCAAGTGATACTCCCACGTCAGCCTCCCAAGTGACAAACCACTTCAGGTGCAAGCCACCATGCCCAGCTAATTTTGTTTTGGTTTGGTTTTTGGTAGAGATAGAGTTCCCCAGAAACCCTATGTTCCCCAGCATAGTCTCGAACTCCTGACCTCAAATGATTCTCCCATCTTGGCCTCCCAAAGGGCTGAGATTACAAGCATAAGCCATGAGCCACCACACCCAGCTTATTATTTATATTCTATAACCATGTTGTAGTATGCTCAATTAAATTTTTTTTTTGGAAAATAAGGCATATATATCTGATTCTCCATGACTTTTAGGATAGATTATTATGTTTGTTTGTTTTAGTTTCCATAATATGCGATCAGGCATATCAACTGAAACACAGAGACACTAGAAAAACCTGTCAGTCACGCAAAGTTGGGTTTATGGAAACTACGGCAGCAAAGGAAAACAGCACCTTGACAGTTCTGTTTCCCAAATGATGTAAATTAAGAAAGCATATTTATTGAATTTTGTAATATGAGAATGACTGATTAAGGGAGGCTTTTCAAGTAGGAGTTTAGGATTGAGTAAATATAATTTATGAATGGTAAGATGAGGGTCTCAATGAGAATGTTGATGACTAAATTGTCATGATAGGAGACCTGCTTGATCAGATGAGCAAATTTTGGCCTGCATAAATTTGTTTGCAAGAATTTCCAGAAGTGAATAGTAAAATTATTTGTTGATTTGGTGTGTCTTCTTCCGTGCAAGAATATCCCAGAAGGCACAGTTAAATTATCTTGACCCAGGTGGTCTCATTCTCAGTTTCAACAGTTGAGTTAGGTTGAAGCAGGTGTTCACAGTTCTTATAATTTTGTTCAGTGACATAGGTTAAAAGAAAATCTCCGGATATATTTTCCCTACAGAGATAAACTGAATTTCTCTTAGGTGTGTATAACAATTGAAATATATGTTCATGATGTAACAAAGGAGTAGTAAGTGGAAAAGCTGTCAGAAGGGCGCCAAAAGGTCTGGAAACCATGGTTTAAGTACAAAATCTAACAAAAAATATTAGCAAATTCTTACATTCTTATTTCAGAACCTCTTTGTGTTGACTGTGCTCTCTATATAATCTTCAAACCAAGGTATTTTTAAGATTCACTGTCTTCTCGTAGGCATGCTGAGATGGAATAAAGTGGGTAATGCACATGCCTGCTGGTGAAGATCTCTCAGGTCTGTTATATCTTTAATCTTTACCCTTTCACATTATATAATTACTATTATAGTTTCACTGGGTTTCTCTATTAATCACGTTATATGTCTATTTGCCATATCCAGTTACTATTCTTCATTCTTTATATAATTTGACCTATTTGTGGATAAAACATTGGTGAATATAATATCCTTCATTAAACTGTTTTAATATTCATTTCCATGAGACAATCTTTTGGTTTTAAAACAAGTGGATAAATAAAATGTTACATATATACAACATGGAATACTACTCAGCCATAAAAAGGAATGAAATAATAGCATTAGCAGCAACCTGGATGAAATTTGAGGCCATTATTCTAAATGAAGTAACTCAGGAAAAAAAAAATACTGTAAGTTCTCACTTATATATAGGAGCTAAGCTATGAGGATGCAAATGCATAAGAATGATAGAATAGACTTTGGGGACTTGGAGGGCAGGGTGAGAGGGGGAAGGAAAGAAGACTATACACTGGGTACAGTGTACACTGCTTGTGTGACAGGTGCACCAAAATCTTAAAACTCACCACTAGAGAACTTTGTCCACATGTTGGAAGTAGCAATTTATTTCAGGTCAATGATTGTTTATCAGATATCAATTTTATCTACATCTCAACAGCATTTGAAAGCTAACTAGCATTTTTTATGAATAATTCTTCAATAAATATATTGGAAAAGTTTTTGGAGATATGCATCAATTTGAAAAAAATTGTGGATGAAACTCATATCCTAGAAATGTTAAAAAAAAGAAAAAGATATGTTACGAATGCGTAGAATATATGTAGATTCTAGTCTATTTTATCATTCACTACTATTGAATATACACAAGTCTATTACAAAACCTTAACAACTATCAAAACTTATGCACATGAATACTTACAGACTGTACATGGCACCATTCCCAGTCTAGAGAAATGTCAACAAGTGTAGAGATGCAATATTAAATTAAAACTGCATAAAATTAACTATATTACATACTGAACTACTTCAAAAATTTTGTAGCCACCTCCTATTGCAAGTGGATGCTGATTATCTCTATGTGAGCAGTCCATCTCTCCAGTACAGTAAAAAGTGATCTTTTATGGTTCTTACATATTTTTATCATGTTTAGTGCAATATGGTAATCCTTGAATAATGCTATAAGACCATAAAAATTGCCACTACCAATGCTGGAAATGCTCTCAAGAAAATGCAGAGACAAATCATGGTATTCCAAGAAAGTTGAACTGCTTGATGTGTAACATAGCTTTAGGTCTACAGCTGCAGTTATGCAAATTTTAAGATAAATGAATCCTGAGGAAGGACCACTGTGAACAAAGAAAAAGGAAATTCATGAAGCCAAAGCTGCATCCACACAAGAAGGCACAAAACCTTGCGCTTCTAGTGAAATATCTTTTTATCTTGTATTAAAAATGCAACTTTTATGTAGGTGCAGGATTGCTATAAGTAAAGCATACCTATAGATTCTAATATGATTTGAGAAAAAGCAAAAAGAAGGTGAAAGATCTAATGGTGGAAAATGTAATGGGTGTAAAAGATAGTTAATAATTTTAAAAATAGATTTGGATTAAAAATATTTCAAGATAGCAGAAGAATCAGCTTCTGCCAAGCAAGAGACAGCAGACAAGTTCCCAGATGTTGATAAGAAAATCATTGAGGAAATAGGGTGTCTGCTTGAAGAAATTTTTAATGTAGCTTAAAGTGCCCTATCTTGGAGTAAAAAATGTCACAAATGGCATTTATCAGTCTAGAAGAGAAGCAATCACCAGGCTTTAAAGAAGGAAAAGACAGGCTAACTCGACTGTTTATGCAAATGCAGATGGGTTTATGATCAGGACTTCCCTTATGTATAAGCTTCTAACCCCTAAGTCTTGAAGGGAAAAGATAAACACTAGATTAGAATCACTAATCCCACCAGTTAGAACTTGAGTTCCCTAAAGTTGCCAGTCTTTTGGTTGTACAACAAGAAGGCCTGGACAACGAAAACCTTTTTTTCTGAATTGGTTCTATCAGTGCCTTATCCCTGAAGTCAAGTAGTGCCTTGCCAGTAAGAGGCTGCCTTTTAAAATTATTTTAATATTGCCCAATGCTCCTAGACCCCCAGCACTCCGTGAGTTCAACATTAAAGGTGTTGATGCAATTTACT
Source organism: Homo sapiens (assembly GCF_000001405.40). Taxonomy (NCBI): domain Eukaryota; kingdom Metazoa; phylum Chordata; class Mammalia; order Primates; family Hominidae; genus Homo; species Homo sapiens. The sequence continues at coordinate 103,308,553 of NC_000006.12, forward strand.
TGTCCTCAAACACAACATCTCCAATTCAGCCTCTAGATCAGGAGGAATGAGGACCTTTAAGGCTCATTACACACAGTACTCTTACAGAAAGTATTATCAACACTATAGAAGAGAACGTCAATAGAGAACAGTGTGAAAGTCTAGAAAAATTATACCATTGAAGGTGCTACGATTATTATAGAAAAAAGCTTTGAAACACATCAAGACCAAAACAATAAATAATTTCTATTGGAGAAAACCGTGTCCTGATGTTGTACATGGCATTGCAGGATTTGTGACAGAGCCAATCAAGTATATTATACAAGAGTCTGTGGAGTAGATGGATCAAGATGGTGGAATAGAAGGCTTCACCAATAGTTCTCCCTGCAAGGGCAACAATGTAACAAAAATCTATACACGATAAAGTACCTTCATAAGAACCAAGAATCAGGTGAGCACTCACAGTATGTATATGACTGAAAGAGGCATAGAAGAGGTAGAAAAAACAGTGTTGAATCCCTGATCCCACCTTTTACCCACTGGCAGTAGCTGCATGGTGCAGAGAGCATCTCTAGGTGCTGGGGCAGGGAGACTGCAGCAGTTGTGAGGCATTGAACTCAGTGCTGTCCTGTTATAACAGAAAGCAAAATCAACTCAAACTCAACTAATGCCTACCCACAGAGGGAGCATTTAAACCAGCCTTAGCCATGGGAGAATCACTAATCCCACCAGTCAGAACTTGAGTTTCCACAAGCCTCGCTACTGTGGGCTACGGTGCCCTGGGGCTCTAAATAAACTTGTAAGGCAGTCTAGGCCACAAGGACTGTAACCCCTAGATAAATCTTACTACTGAACTCAGCCCAGAGCCAGGAGACTGTGGGGACACACAATCTACTGAGACACCAACTGGGATGCCTAAGGGAGTGCAGGCATCACCCTCTGCTAACCCAAGGACGCACAGCTTGCAGCTCAACAAGAGATCCCTAATTCTACTTGAGAAGAGGAGAGGAAAGAGTAGGGAGAACTTTGTCTTGCATCCAGGATAAGAGCTCAATCACAGCAGGATAGGACACTTGTCAGAGCCACAAGACCCCTTTTCCAGGCCCTAGCTCCCTGGTCCAGAAGGGAACGTGCTTCCTTAAAGGGAAGGGCCCAGTGTTGAAAGCATTAGCCAACTGCTAAATGAAGAGCCCTTAAGCCCTGAATAACCAGCAGCAATACCCAGTTGAAGACTTTGGGTGAGACTCTGAGATTTGCTGGCTTCAGGTGAGACTCAGCACATTCCTGGCTGTAGTGGCTATGAGTTGAGACTCTTTCTTCCTGAGAAAAGCAAAGGAAAATGTAAAGGGGACTTTGGTTTGCACAGAGTACCAGCTCAGCCATACAGAATTAGAGTGTCAAGCAGGCTCTTGGGGGTGCCCTGATTCCAGGACTTGGTTCTTGGACACCATTTCTGAACCTGCCCTTGCTCAGAGGGGAGCCCACCGCACTGAAAGGTGAGTTCCAGGTCAGGGAGTATTCATCACAAGATGACTAAAGAGCCCTTGGGCCTTCAGGGAACATCAACAGTCATCTGTAAGTACTTCCCTAGGGCCGTAGTGGAAGTGGTCTCAGGGAGAGGCTCTTCTGCCTTTGGAAAGGGGAGGGAAGGGTGAAAAGGACTGCATATTGTGGCTTGAGTGTCAGTTCAGCTGCAATACAACAAAATGCCAAGTAGACTTCTAAGGTTTTGATGTTAGTCTCTGGCTCCTGTGGCACCTCTGGACCTGCTGGGGTCCTGGGGAAACTCACTGTCCTGAAGAGAAGTACAAAGGCCTGACTGGCTTTGCCACGTGATGACTGTAGAGCCCCAGAGCCTTGAGTGAACATAGGCAGTACCAAGGAGTGGTTACGGCAAGCTTTGGGCAAGATCCAGTGCTGTGCTGGCTTCAGGTCTGAACAAGTGCTATCATAGTAGTGGTGGCTACAGGGCCACTTGTGTCACTCCCCCTCCAGCTTCAGGTAGATCAGAACAGAGGGAGAGACATCATTTGTTTGGGAGAAAGAAAGGGAAGAGAACAAGAGTCTCTGCCTGGTAATCCAGAAGACTTTCTCAGATCTTGTCCAAGAACATTAAGGCAGTACCTCTATGGGTCTGCAAGAACCAAAGCAATCCTGCACTTGGGGTATCCCCTAAACCAGGTATAGCTTAAATCACAACACCCAAGTCCTTTTGAATATTTGGAAAACCTTCCAAGAAGGACGGGTACAAAAAAAGCTCAGACTGCAAAGACTACCATAAATACATAACTCTTCAAGGCCCAGACACAGATGAAAATCTGTAAGTATCAAGATAATCTAGGAAAACATGACCTCAAATAAGGACCTCAAATAAGGAATTCATGATCTAAATAAGGCACTTGAAGCCAGTCCTGAAGAAACAGAGATATATGACCTTTCAGACAGAGAATTCAGAGAATTCAAAACAGCTGTTTTGTGGAAACTCAAAAAAAAATTCAAGAGAACATAGAGAAGGAGTTTAGAATTCTATCAAATACATTTAACAAATAAATGAATATAATTAAAAAGAATCAAGCAGAAATTATGGAACTTAAAATGAAATTGGGATACTGTAAAATTGGGATACTGTAAAAGTATTTTACTAGCAGAATTGACTAAGCAGAAGAAAAAATAGTGAGCTGGAAGACAGGCTATTTGAAAATACACAGTCAGAGGAGAGAAAATAAAAAAAAAAAAAACCATAAAAAGCAGTGAGGCATGCCTACAGGATCGAGAAAATAGCCGCAAAGGGACAAATCTAGGAGTTATTGGCCCTAAAGAGAAGGCAGAGAAATAGACAGTGGTAGAAAGTTTATTCAAAGGGATAATAACAGAGAACATTCCAAGCCTAGAGAAAGACATCAATATCCAAGTACAAGAAGGTTATAGAACAATAAGCAAATTTAACTCAAAGAAGACTACCTCAAGGCATTTAATATTCAAACTCCCAAAGATCAATGACAAAGAAAGGATCCTAAAAACAAGAGAAAAGAAAAAAATAACATACAATGGAGCTTGAATACATCTGGCAGTAGACTTTCCAGTGGGTACCATACAGGCTAGAGGAGAATGGCATGACATGTTTAAAGCGCTGAAGAAAAAAATTACTTTGGAATAATGTATTTGGGAAAAATATGTTTCAATCATGAAGGGGAAATAAAGACTTTCCCAGACAAACAAAAGTTGAGGGATTTTATCAACACCAGATGAGTCCTACAAGAAATGCTAAAGGGAGTACTTTACACAGAAAGAAAAGAGTGTTAATGAGCAAAAAGTTATCACTTGAAGGTACAAAACTCACCGATAATAGTAAATACACACAAAAAAACACAGAATATTATAACACTGTACTGTAGTACGAAAACTACTCTTACCATAAGTAGAAAGGCTAAATAATGAATCAATCAAAAATAATATATACAACAACTTTCTAAGACATAGAGGGTACAATAAGCTATAAATATAAACAACAAGGAGTTAAAAATTTGGGAAGTAAACTTAAGAAGTAGAGTTTTTATTAGTTTTCTATTTGCTTGTTTGTTTATACACACAATGTTAAGTTGTTATCGGCTTAAAATAATGGGTTATAAGACAGTATTTGCAAGCCTATGGTAACCTCAAACCAAAAAACATACAATGGATACATAAAAAAAAAGCAAGAAACTATATCATATTTTTGGAGAAAATTATATATACTAAAATTATATATAACTTTTGAGGAGTTCAAAAGTTATATATGAATTTTCAACTATGTGAAGGGACATGCTCCTAACCTCTATGTTGTTCAAAGGCCAACTGTATGGTTAATTCCCCCAGATCATCCAGAATAGAAGTTATGCCCAAGTTCCAACAACTTTTGCTAAATGACTAGCACCAATAGTGATACATAGTAGATGCTTCAAAAATATGTTTATCTACCCTCCATTTCTTATTCCTTTGCCAATATCTAGCAAAATTAAAAGTATTTTAAAATGTTATAAGATTATAAAGAACATTATTTATTTGAAAAAACCAAATTAATTAAAGAATATTACAAATGCCTGAGCTGGAAAAAGACCAAAGGAATAACATAGGTTTGTTTGTTCGTTTGTATTTTTGAAAAAGTGAATACATTCTAGTTGGGGTAAAACCCTTACTTCAATTTGACAAAATAAAACCTGTGTACAGTATAAAAAAGTAGGATCTTTCTGATTGCATTCATATCTTTTCTGTGGTAGAATTTTATCCCAGAAATAGTGGGAAATCACAAAGACACTCCACTACCAATTATTTTCAACAGAATTACAGCAGTAATAAATAGAAGCTGGCAGAGAGGGTTTCTTTCCTCTTAATAGTGATTAGATAAGCAGATTATCTAAATAATTCCATTATAAATAAATCTGAATCATATCAAGATAAGAAAATTCAAAACAATAATATAAACTCTCTCTTCATATATTAGTGAGTTTTGTCCTTTCTTGCATAAATGTAAGACAAAGTCACAGTCGACTTGAAATGGTAATTTTCTTTTTCATCTCTCAATGTCATACGTTGTAAGCATTCCTAAATGACATTTAAACCTGACTCAGTCATCTAAACAATAAAACCTATTTATGTTCTGCTCAGTTAGTAACTATATCACTTTTGTAGAAAGAAAACAAAAAACAATTTCACAATGTATTAGGACTTTTAAAATAACCAGTATTTACACATCGGTATTTATCTTCTTATTGCAATATCATTTTGTTTATTATCATTCCAAAACCTTCATGCTTACAAAAATGTATGGAGAATGCAAGAAAATTATTGATTTACACTAACACTTATTTTCAGGTTGGTACTAGAATATTAAATTTTCTTTTTTAATTACAGAAGATAAAGTAAATTTACCTTTTTCCTTAGATGTATCTTTGCAATAAAACCAAGCAATTGGTTGATGAAATTTAATATGACTATTTTTTGAGGCAACCTAATTTTAAGTTTTACAAATGATTGATCAGTAACTTTTACATAACCAGCAGCTGGGGTTCACCCCTCAGTAAGCCTTCAGGAATGATATGAGATTGACTTCCAAAAGCAACTCTATAAGACCATTCCTTCTGCACAATTATGAGTAATATGTTACTAGGAAGAGTATGGCAATTTTATCTCTCCCATTTAGACCTCAAATTTGATGTTATACTTTTCATTTACCTTTTCAATCTTTTCACATGTTTATCTAAGAAATATAGCTTAACCCACATAGACATTTATTTTTATTTCTTTTCCTTCTGCTGCATACATGCATGAGAATGTTTTGGAGACTGGAGGCTCATGCCTGTAGTCTCTGCTATGTGGGAGACTGAGATAGGAGGATTGATTGAGCCCAGGGTAACGGAGAGAGGTTGAAACAGTTTGCAGGGCTAAGAAGAAGACAGGAAGATGTGGGAAAGTTTAGAACATCCTAGGGACTTGTAAATTGGTTTTGACAAAAATGCTGATAGTAATATGGATAATGAAGTCCAGACTGAGGTGCTCTCAGATGGAGATGAGGAACTTCTTGGGAACTGGAAACTGGAGCAAAGGTAACTCTTACTATGCTTTAGCATAGAAACTGATGACATTTTTCTCCTGCCCTAGAGATCTCCTGCATTTTGAGCTTGAGAGAGATTACTTAGGGTATCTGACAAAAGAAAGTTTTAAGCAATAAATTTGTCAAGATGTGACCTTGGTGCTCTTAAAGGGTTTCAGTTTTATGCATTCACAAAGAGATATTTTGGATTTGGAACTTTTTAAAAGTATACTTTAAGTTCTGGGATACATGTGCAGAACATGCAGGTTTGTTACATAGGTATACACGTGGCATGGTGGTTTGCTGCACCCATCAACCCATCATCTACATTAGGTATTTCTCCTAATGCTATCCTTCCCCTAGCCCCCCATCCCTCAACAGGCCCTGGTGTGTGATGTTCCCCTCCCTGTATCTATGTGTTCTCACTGTTCAACTCCCACTTGTGTGAGAAGATGCAGTGTTTGGTTTTCTGTTCCTGTGTTAGTTTGCTGAGAATGAAAGTTTCCAGCTTCATCTGTGTCCCTGCAAAAGACATCATAACTCATCCTTCTTTTATGGTTGCATAGTATTCCATAGTGTATATGCGCCACATTTTCTTTATCCAGTCTATTACTGATGGGCATTTGGGTTGGTTCCAAGTCTTTGCTATTGTGAATAGTGCTGCAGTAAACATATGTGAGCATAGGTCTTTAGAGTAGAATGATTTATAATCCTTTGGGTATATACCCAGTAATAAGATTGCTGGGTCAAATGGTATTTCTGGTTCTAGATCCTTGAGGAATTTCCACACTGTCTTCCACAATGGTTGGACTAATTTACACTCGCACCAACAGTGTAGAAATATTCCTATTTCTCCACGTCCTCTCCAGCATCTGTTGTCTCCTGACTTTTTAATGATTGTCATTCCAACTGGCATGAGATGGTATCTCATTGTGGTTTTGATTTACATTTCTCTAATGACCAGTGATGATGAGCTTTTTTCATATGTTTGTTGGGCACATAAATATCTTCTTTTGAGAAGTGTCTGTTCATATCCTTTGCCCACTTTTTGATGGTTTTTTTTTTCTTCTAAATTTGTTTAAGTTCCTTGTTGATTCTGGATATTAGCCCTTTGTCAGATTGATAGATTGCAAAAATTTTTCCTCATTCTGTAAGTTGCCTGTTCACTCTGATGATAGTTCCATTTGGTGTGCAGAAGCTCTTTTTTGTTGCCGTTGCTTTTGGTGTTTTAGTCATGAAGTCTTTACCCATGCCTATGCCCTGAATAGTATTGCCTAGGTTTTCTTATAGAGTTTTTATGGTTTTAGGTTTAAGTCTTTAATCCAACTTGATTTAATTTTTATTAGGTGTAAGGAAGGGGTCCAGTTTCAGTTTTCTGCATATGGCTAGCCAGTTTTCCCAACACTATTTATTAAATAGAAAATCCTTTTCTCATTGCTTGTTTTTATCATGTTTGTCAAAGATCAGATGGTTGTAGATGTGTGGCATTATTTCTGAGGCCTCTGTTCTGTTTCACTGGTCTATATATCTGTTTTGGTACCAGCGCAATCCTGTTTTGGTTACTGTAGACTTATAGTATAGTTTGAAGTCAGGTAGTGTGATGCCTCCAGCTTTGTTCTTTTTGCTTAGGATTGTCTTGGCTATACAGGCTCCTTTTTGGTTCCATATGAAATTTAAAGTAGTTTTTTCTAATTTTGTGAAGAAAGACAGTGGTAGCTTGATGGGGATAGCATTGAATCCATAAATTACTTTGGGCAGTATGGCCATTTTCACGATATTGATTCTTTCTATTCAGGAGCTTGGAATGTTTTTCCATTTGTTTGTGTCCTCTCTGGTTTCCTTGAGCAGTGGTTTGTAGATATCCTTGAAGAGGTCCTTCACATTCCTTGTAAGTTGTATTCCTAGGTATTTTATTCTCTTTGTAGCAATTGTGAGTGGGAGTTCACTCATAATTTGGCTCTCTGTTTGTCTATTATTGGTGTATAAGAATGCTTGTGATTTTCTCACATTGATTTTGCATCCTGAGACTTTGCTGAAGTTGCTTATCAGCTTAAGGAGATTTGGGGCTGAGATGATGGGGTTTTCTAAATATACAATCATGTCATTTGAAAACAGAGACAATTTGACTTCCTTTTTTCCTATTTGAATATGCTTTATTTCTTTCTCTTTCCTGATTGCCCTGGCCAGAACTTACAATACTAAGTTGAATAGGTGTGGTGAGAGAGGACATACTTGTCTTGTGAGGTTTTCAAAGGAATGCTTCCAGCTGAGATTTTGGCTGTGGGTGTATCATAAATAGCTCTTACTATTTTGAGATACGTTCCATCAATACGTAGTTTATTGAGAATTTTTAGCATGAGGGTTGTTAAATTTTGTTGAAGGCCTTTTCTGCATCCATTGGGATAATCATGTGGTTTTGGCATTGGTTCTGTTTATGTGATGGAAAGGGAATATCATCACTGATCTCACAGAAATACAAACTGCCATCAGAAAATACTATAAACATCTCTACACAAATAAACTAGAAAATCTAGAAGAAATGGACAAATTCCTGGACACATACACCCTCCCAAGACTAAACCAGGAAGAAGCTGAATCTCTGAAGAGACCAATAACAAGTTCTGAAATTGAGGATGTAATTAATAGCCTACCAACCAAGAAAAGCCCAGGACAAGACATTTACAGCGGAATTCTACCACAGGTACAAAGAGGATCTGGTACCCTTCCTTCTGAAACTATTCCAAGCAGCAGAAATAGAGGAACTTCTCCCTAACTCATTTTGTGAGGCCAGCATCATTATGATACCAAAACCTAGTAAGAGACATAATAAAAAAAGAAAATTTCATTCCAATATCTCTGATGAACATCACTGCTAAAATCTTCAATAAAATACTGGCAAACCAAATCTGGCAGCACATCAAAAAGCCTATCCACCACGATCAAGTCAACTTCAACCCTGGAATGCAAGGCTGGTTCAACATATGCAAATTAAACTTATTTTTGAAAGGGAAGCAGAGCATAAAAGTTTGGAAAATTTGCAGCCTATTGATGTGATAGAAAAGAAAAACCAATTTTCTGGAGAGAAATTCAAGCAGGGTGCAGAAATTTGCATAAGTAATGAGTCAATTGTTAATCACCAAGACAATAGGGAAAATGTCTCCAGGGCATGTCAGAGGTCTTCATGGCAGCCCCTCCCACCACAGGCCTGGAGGCATAAAAGGAAAAAAAAAAATCATTACCTGGACTCATCCCAGGGCCTTGCTGCTTTGTGCAATCTCGGGACTTGGTGATCTGCATGTCAGCTGTGGACAAAAAGGGACAAACTTAAACTCAAACTGTTGTTTCAGCATGTGGAAGCCCTAAGCCTTTGCAGCTTGCATGTGGTAATGGGCCTGCAGGTGCACAGAAGTCAAGAATTGAGGTTTGGGAACTTTAGTTTTGATTTCAGGGGATGTAGGGAAATACCTGGATGTTGAGGCAGAAGTTTGCTGAAGGAGTGGAGCCCTCATGGAGAACTTCTGCTAGGGCAGTGTGAAAGGGAAATGTGGGGTTGGAGCCCCCACTGAGAGTTCCCACTGGGGCACTAGTAGAGCTGTGAGAAGAGGGCCACCATCCTCCAGGCCCCAGAAATGTAGATCCACCAACAGCTTGCACTGTGCACCTGGAAAAGCCAGAGACACTCAACACCAGCCTGTGATAGTTTATGTGAGGGGGGCTGTACCCTTAAAAATCACAGAGGCAGAGCTGCCCAAGGCTGTAGGATCCCACCTCTTGTATCAGTGTGACCTGGATATGAGACATGTAGTCAAAGGAGATCATTTCAAAACATTAAGATTTGGCCAAGCACAGTGGCTCATGCCTGTAATCACAGCACTTTGGAAGGCTGAGGTGGGCAGGTCACTTGAGGTCAGGAGTTTGAGACCAGCCTGGCCAACATGGTGGAACCATGTCTCTACTATAAATACAAAAATTCACCAGTCATGGTTGTAGGCATCTATAATCTCAGCTACATAGGAGCCTAAGGCAGAATAATCACTTGAACCTGGGAGGCATAAGTTGCAGTGAGCCAAGATCATGCCATTACACTTCAGCCTTGGTGACAGAGCAAGACTCTTACCTCACCCCCAAAAAAGCTTTAAGATTTGACTGACTTGCTTAATTTTGGACTTCCACAGGGCCTGTAGGCCTTGCAGTTTGGCCAATTTCTCCCATTTGGAATGGGTGTACTTAATCAATTCCTGTACCCTCATTGTATCCAGGAAAGAACTATCTTGTTTTTGATTTCACAGGCTCATAGACAGAAGGGATCTGCCTTATCTCAGATGAGACTTTGGACTTGGACATTTGGGTTAATGTTGGAATAAGTTAAGACTTTGGGGAACCATTGAAAAGGCATGATTGTGTTTTGAAATGTGAGGGCATGAGATTTGTGAGGGACTGGGGTGGAATGATATGGTTTGGCTCTGTGTCCCCACTCAAATTTCACCTTGAATTGTAATTCCTGTATCCCCATAATCCCCATGTCAAGGAAGAGACCATGTGGAGGTAATTGAATCATAGGTATGGATTCCTCCATGCCATTTTTGTGATGGTGAGTGAGCTTTCACAAGATCTGATGATTTATAAGTGTTTGACAGTTACTCCTGCAACTATCTCCTTCCTGCTGCCTTGTGAAGAAAGTCCCATGCTTCTCCTTTGCTTTCTTCCAAGATCGTATGTTTCTTGAGGCCTCCCCAGCTCTGCTGAACTAAGTCAATTAAACCTCTTTCCTTTATAAATTACCCCAGTCTTGGGCAGTTCTTTACAGCAGTGTGATAAAGGGCTAACACATCTTGTAATTAAATATGTATTTGATGTTAAATGTTATATTAAACAAACAAAGAGTAGTAGTTTAACAGAGATAAAACACTAAATTGCTGCAGAATAACAAAGATGTTCAAAAGAGGAGATAAGGATGCATCTACTAAACTTTTGCTTCAACATCAGTATTTTATTATATATTATTTATTATAGACATTGAGATATTGAATGGACACACTGAAGATATTGAGGCTCTTAGGGCTTTCAGCTTTGAGAAAGAAAATGGCAGAAATTGTAGGCATTTTGTCATAGGTAAACAAAAAGAATTGCCATCCAGAAATCTTTAGTACATTAAGATTGGTTCTAGTAACTGAACACAGATGAACTAAGGGAATGTAAAGTATTTTCGTTGTCTAACATAGTGTCTTAGTACTACTAAAATACAAAGAATTATATCATAATCATTTAATTAGAAAATGTCAAGCTGTTTTTTCTATGTGGTGTCTGTATTGTAGCAAAGAAACAGAGTTCATTTAACACAGAAAACTACTTATCTAGAAAACACCTTTTTTTGTTGTTACGTTGTTTCTCTATTCCAATTTTCAATAACTCTCAGAAGGAATTGCTTTTTATTTGATGTAGCTTTAATACATTTTCTTTATTCCATCTCAGGCCGAGACAACTTTTCTGCTATATTCTAATCTACAGAGGTTGTGAAACATAACATAAACTATGACAATGGTGCACTACATTATTGACAAAATGCTGAATAGACCAGATGGACAAAATGTAACAAATATGTTAGATGTCTTTGAGGAATATTATTTTAAAACAAAGAATTGAATACAATACATTTGTTAAAAACTTTCTTAAAAGAATTAAACTATCAGAAAGGGCTGAAGAGGCTAACACAAACATAGCACCAGCAGAAGCAGCTACCACAGTTAGAACTCCAGGAAAAATGGAGGGAGGAATAGAATCTTGGAGGGAAGGTGCTGGAATCTGGACTCCAATCTCTAAAGATAATATTGTGCCAATATCTCAGCAGCTTTTAGAATGTGATTGAGCTATAGGTTGCTAGGATGCAAAAATCTCTGAGGGAGCATGGTAAAGTCAATTTTGGGAGTGCTAATAGAAGATAAAGATTAGAATGAATACAATTGTCGTATGAAATATCCAACAATCAACATGATTTTGCAATAACATCAGAGAATATAATCAGTTCCCTTCCTTCCTACGTATACTGTAACTTCCCTCTACTGATCATTATTTATTAAAGCTAATAGTGAGTCTACTGACACAAAAGAAATATAGTTTGCAGTTTCAGGAGCAATGTCTCTAAGCAGAATACAAACAGTAGGTTTGAGAATAAGAGACAAAAACATAATGATTGGTACCTAACTAAAACATGGATTACTGACTTTTGACTTCTAGTAATGGTGAAGTAAGATCCTAAAGGGCGATTAGCCTCATAAAGCAAGCATACAATCTGGACAATATGTAAAAATCAATTACCTAAAGTAACAGGAGAGTGATCAGGAGGTGGGGAGATTGAGACCATCCTGGCCAACATGGTGAAACCCCGTCTCTACTAAAAATACAAAAATTAGCTGGGCGTGGCAGCACATGCCTGTAATCCCAGCTACTCGGGAGGCTGAGGCTGAGGCAGGAGAATCACTTGAACCCGGAAGGCAGAGGTTGCAGTGAGCTGAGATCCTGCCACTGCACCCCAGCTTGGTGACAGAGCTAGGCTCCATCAAAAAAAAAAAAAAAAAAAAAACAAGAAAAACAAACGAACAACAAAAAAACAAAACAAAAATTAAAAAGGGGAGAAAAATGAATAATACTTTCTCTAATTTTTTGCCTGATTATATATGTAACATATTTTTTAAAAGCCATAAAGCTGTAGGATACAAGGTAAGTATTAAAAATTAACTTACAGACTTACGATTTTGGTAAAATGGAATAGATCTACTTTTTCTATTTTTCATGCTAAATACAACTAAAACCTATGGACAGAGAACATAAACATAAGAAGGCCGGGTGCGGTGGTTCATGCCTGTAATCCCAGCACTTTAGGAGGCCGAGGTGGGTGGATCACGAGGTCAGGAGTTCAAGACCATCCTGGCCAACATGGTGAAACCCCATCTCTACTAAAAATACAAAAATTAGCTGGGCGTGGTGGCACATGCCTGTAATCCCAGCTACTCGGGAGGCTGAGGCAGGAGAATTGCTTGAACCTGGACCCGGGAGGCGGAGGTTGCAGTGAGCTGAGATCACGCCACTGCACTCTAGCCTGGGCTACAAAGCGAGATTCCGTCAAAAAAAAAAAAAAAAAAAAAAAAAAAAAAAAAACATAAACACAAGAAAACCCTAAAAGGAGGAACCAGCTATGGACTTTGAGACCTCAATGAATGAGGAGGGTGAATTCACTGGGTTTTCTGTTTGCCTCCTATATTCCAGACTTGTAACTGAGGATGCAGACAAGAAAATCTCCCTAACTATCCGCTCTCACTAGCAAAAAGAGAGGAAAAGGAGCAGCTAACGAGGCAGAAACCTTTTAAATAACGGCCATTCTCTTTCAGCTAATCACAGGGGTGGAGGTGGGATGTGCTTCCATCCTCACCCAATCCAGAAAAAGGCTATGTGGGGAGACTAGACTTCCAAACAAGCAAGGCTGTATCAAGCTTTCCTAATACTTCTGAGAGCTGTATCAGAAAAGGCCAAGTAGGGAGTTGAGACTTTTATCCCCAGTGGCCACTGATGCAACTGTCTCTTAATTTGGTATCAGTGTAACCATGCATGAATTCTGGACTTCCATATACACCCAGGAGCAATGTGTCATTCCTCCCCATCCACGTAGTGCTGGCAAAAGAGAATTAGGTATTTTACCATGCCCCAGTGGTAATAGGGCTAGCCCATCATGGTGTCATTCAAGAGATGTGGCCAGCCAGAATTCTCACTTCCACCAAGACATAATGAGTAGCTTCCCCCTCTGTTATCAGTGGAAGTCAAATGGGGACCCTGGACTTCTAACTGCATATGGCAATAATGAGGCAGAGCCCTTTTTTTTCCTGCCAGGCCAAAGTTACAAAAAAATTCCAGTTAAAACATAAGGTTCAAATAAGATCCAGGATTTCACAACACAATAGCAAATATGCACATATTTCAATTGGAAATCATCTAACGTACCAAAACCTAGGAATCTCTGAAACTGAATATAAGAAAAAAAAACAATAGATTCTACTTCAAGGTGTTGGAGATATTGTAATTACCTGAGAAAGATTTTAAACCAGCCATGTAAAAATTTTTCAATGAGCAGTTATGAAAATACTTGAAACATAAATAATTAAAAGCCTAATAAAGAAATATAAAGTCTCAGCAAAGACATAAAAGATAAAGAGAAGAGTGAATAAACATTTTAAAATAAAAACTACTGAATGGAAATAAATGTGAAAATGAAAATATAGCACATCATAATATGTAAGATACAGCCAAAGCACTGCCGAGAAGTTTATTCTTAACTTTATGTATAAGAAAAATAAATAAAGTCAGTCAGTAATATAAGCTTCATGAATCGAGCAAAAGAAGAGTAAAACCAACCCAAATAAGCAGAAGAAAAGAAATAAGATCAGAAATAAATAAAATGTAAAACAGCAACAACAGAGAAAATCAATGAAACGAAGAGTGGATTTATTGAAAAGATTAAAAGTGTTATCAATAAAAATGTAAAATCTTTTTATATATATATATTTTATTATACTTTAAGTTTTAGGGTACATGTGCACAATGTGCAGGTTTGTTACATATGTATACATGTGCCATGTTGGTGTGCTGCACCCATTAACTCGTCATTTACATTAGGTATATCTCCTAATGCTATCCCTCCTCCTTCTCCAATCTTTAACAGGAATAACAAACAAAAAAAAAGAGACAAGACACCAATCACCAGTTACAAGAATGAAACAGAAAGTATCACTATAGACCCTACAGACATTAAAATGCTAATTAGGGAGAACTACCATAAATCTGACAACTGAGATGAAATACATTAATTCAATAAGAAACACAGTCACAACTTACCCAATATTAAAGAGGTTACTTTAATAGCTCTGTAATTACTAAGAACATTTAATTTCTTAAAAAGGAAAATACACTGAAGACATCTCCAGGCTGAAATTATTTCTTCAGAAAATTCTACCTAATATTTAAAGATTTAATAACAATTCTAAACAGTATTTTCCCAAAAAAGAAAGATGAAATAATACTCTCAAATTTATTTTATATAGTATTATCCTGACATGCAAACCAGACAAAAGCAATACAAAAATAGAAAAAAGAAAAGAAAAACAACAGACAAATGTTCATCATGAATATAGATTTTTAAAAATCTTTAAAAATTATTAGCATATAGAATTCAGCAACATATAAAAAGGATTATACACCATAAATGTCTTTGCCCATTTTATGCTGCTATAACATAATACTTGAGAATAAGTAATTTATAATAAACAGAAATTTATTTGGCTCATGGTTCTAAAGTTTGGGAAGTCCAAGATCTAGGAGTACGTTCTGTGAGTGACTTCTTGCTGTGTCTTCCCATGATAAAACGTGTAAGGGCAAAAAAGCATGGAGGCAAGTGGGTGTCAAATTCACTTTTACAACAAAGTCACTCTCACAATAACATTAACTCATTCATGAGTGCAGAGCCCTCATGAGCTAATCATCTTTTAAAGTTTCCACCATTTAATACCATTGCATTGGGGATTAAGATTCCAACGCCTGAATTTTGGGGAACACATTCAAATTCTAGCAATGGCCAATTGGAGTGTATTCCAGGGATGCAAGATTTGCTCAATATTAGAAAAAAATTAATTTATTATTTGAACAAGCTAAATAAAAATATCACGTGATATTTTGAATTGATGCAGATAAACCATTCTTAAGAATTCAATATCCATACATGGTTAATACTCTAAAAACAATAAGAATAGCAAAGGCCATCCTCAACTTTATAGAGAATACAATTTTTTTTTAAAAAAAGCTAATATTATTGCTTTGCTTTGTATGTGGTTTCTCTCCACCAAGCCTCATTTTTTAATCTGATCCTGAACGTGGCAGTTTTGAAGGATGGGGCCTCGTAGGATGTCTTTTAATCATGGAGCAGATCCCTCATGAGTATTAATGCTCTCCTACATGGGTGAGCGGATACCCACCCTCTTGGGAATAGGTTAGTTCCCAAGAGAGCAGGTTGTTAAAAGTGTCTTGCTTCCTCAGTTTCTCTTGTTTCCTTCCTTGCCATATGATCTCTGAACACACCCACACCTTTTTGGCTTTCCACCACGAGTGAAAGCAGCATGATGCCCTCACCCAGAGCCAAACAAGCAATGGCACCATTCTTGTACTTCTGAGCCTGCGGAACTGTCAGCTAAATAAACCTTTTTCCTTTATAAATTGCCCAGCCTTAGATATTCTGTTAGAGCAACACAAAATGGACTAAGGAAATTATAATGGTAAAAGACTGACTGCATTCCCCTAAGATCATGAATAAGACAAAGATATTTGCTATCTCACCACAAGGAATTTCTAGCCAGTGCAATAAAGCAATAAAGAAAATAAAATACATATAGAAATGAAGAAACCAAATTGCCCCTATTTGCAGATGACATGATTATCTATGCAGAAAATATCAAGGAATCTACAAATATCTCCTAAAAATGAAACATGAGTTGAGCATATCACACAATACAAGATAAGCAAAAACATTGCTTTTCTAGATATTAGCAGAAAAAAGAGTACCAAATTTAAAAGTACTATACCTTTATAATCACTAAGAGAATGAAATGGGCATAAATCTAACAAGCCATTGAAAGACTTGTATACTAAAAACTACATAACATTGATGAAAGAAATAAAGACAGTACAAATAAATGGGAAAACATACCATGTTTATAAGTTGGAAAACTCAGTGAAGATAATAACTTTCTACAAATTAATATACAGGCTGAATACAATCCTATCAAACATTCATCTACTTTTAGAAATATACAGATTATTATAAAATATGTATGGAAAGACAAGTAACTAAAATAGCTAGCATAGTATTTAAAAGAAGAATAAAATGAGAGAAATCAGTTTACCCAAATTTAAGACTTTTTATACAGCAACAATAATCAAGCCTTTTTGATATTGAGGGAAAGACAGACCCATAGTCCAATGGAACAGAATAGCAAACCAAGATGTAGATTTATTAAAAAATATGTGCAACCTATTTTTGACAATGTCTCAAAAGCAATTGAGCAGAGAAAAGATAGCAGCAAATGGTGCTGGAACAATTGGATATCCACAAGCAAAAAAAAATTAAAAAGAAAAGAAAGGAAGGAAGGAAAGAAGGAAGAAAGGAAGGAAAGGAGAGAGATGAAAGAAAGAAAGAAAAAGAAAGAAAGAAAGAGAAAGAAAGAGAAAGAGAAAGAAAGAAAGAAAGAGAAAGAAAGAGAAAGAGAGAGAAAGAAAAAGAAAGAAAGAAAGAAAGAAAGAAAGAAAGAAAGAAAGAAAGAAAGAAAGAAAGAAAGAAAGAAAGAAAGAAAAAGAAAGAAAGAGGGAGGGAGGGAGGGAGGAAAGAAGGAAGGAAGGAAAACATTTCAATTAATCTATCACACTGTCAAATTTCTGAAAAGAGATCCAAAGATAATTATATCTTTTTACAACATCAAATAATGATGCATTATGTATGTGTACTAGAGTCACCGTTTTCCAAACATATGCCTAAATGAAGTATAATGGCATATATACAACCATGATTGATGTGATATCTAGTTTTCATTAAGTTACGATGTGTTAATATTGTGTCAACATATCCAGTCTTCTATTCATCACTGTGAAATACTATGTGTTACATTTTCTTTGGTTAATTAAAATAAATGTATCTATTACTAATATTTTGCTAATTTAAAACACCAAGAGGTACTGGTGTTTCAAGTTGTAGGAAACATAGCTTCTAAATTAATATATTTTAAAATATGAGAATAATGGATTGCTGAAGCCAATAGTACAAACTCACTCATAAAAGAGATTGTGGTTTATAAAATAATAGCATAAGATTTATAGTGGTCAACCTCCTGATATTTCCAACTGAATGTCCTGCTTCTGACATTAAAAATAAAGGGTAATTTCTGTGTGAAGTTATGTAATACTCAATATCAGCCCCAAATGTGTTGAGATTCATGCCAAACATTGTAAGTTGCCTGCATAATATTTTTCTGATTGATCATTTTATAAAAGAATCTAATTAAGACTATGAACAATCAATATTTATGGCCTGCTATCAAAATTTTCTTTCTTCTTAAAATTTACATTTAATTTATTTATTCAATGGATATAAAGCAAATAACAACAATATTTTTGCTTTTGTTCAAGGTAACATTGATAAAGTAATGACTAAAAAATTGTCTCTCAAGCAGTCTCTTTTCTCCAGGAACTCCAGGACAATAGGAAGCACTCTACAAATAAATGACTAATCATGTTTAAGGTAATAATTGCATAAAGTTGCATAAATGAAGAAGTAACCAATTCAGGCTGTGGAAAATTAAGACATACATGCTGCTTAGAAATTTGAGTGCTTTGTTTGGAAATGAGATGTAAGTTATGAAGATTAAACTGGGAAAATTAAATAGATCTAGTTGTGAACATACTGAATGTCAGGCTTAGGAAAACTGGCACAAAATAAACCATCTAATAGTTTGAAGCCAAAGAGGACTTACTTTCTTAAATGAATGTTTGGAAAAAATCATTCTGACAGAAATATGGAAGATGGATTGGAGGGGCAACATACTAGACACAATAAGAGCAGTTATATTCTGCTCTTATTGACTACTCCACTGTGAAGGTAGACTTTCTATATCCAGGAAGTCAATTGGCTTTCACTTAACATACAGATAAATGAAAGAGACAACCATCTCATTATCAGCTGGGTTGACCTGTACTGAGTCATCTTGATAGCTTTTGCTTATGATGAGAAGTCTCTTGATTTATTGAAGTCAACATTACATTTCTCCCTTGACACTACTTCACTTCTCATATGTTCCCCAGTGTTTGAAAAACAAATAGCACAGGCACCCTTTCCATAAGGCCTTAACACTAGAAAACCTTTGCCTAAGAGAGCAGCCACAGCAGCTTTTTAAGTTCATAGCTCAAAACTTACATAAAGTGGACTTGGCAGGATTTTGCTTAGGAGTTGCAGAATTAAACTTACTGGCTTGTGTGAAATTTGATTAACTGAAATCTCCTCAGTCCTCTTGTTGACCACATCCCCAGAAACAGCCAGCTGGACTCCTGGGCAGCTATGTGTCGAAGCAGAACTGAGCCAGCTGTCAGCTTGCTCACAGAAGGGGACTCTCCACAGTGGAATACAGCTCTTTTAGCAAAAGCAGCACTGCCTCAGAGTGCATACCCAGCCTTAATGAATCCATGAACTGGCACCTCTTTGGTCTCACATTCCATTTTTTTTTAACATTTAGTAAATGTATTTTGTGCTAGTAAAGGAGGCTGAAAACGTTGCTTTAATCTTCAGATACTGGGAATAGTAACACCTTACACAGTCCGGAGATGTTACATGTGTAAATCAGACACAAAGGGACTTGATTACAATCTCTTGTTCAATGCAGAATGGCCTCAAAAAGACCAGTCTGATTCCATACTTCATTCTGACAGCCAACTCACAGACACAAATAACGGAACTGGAAATGTGGATACAAGGCACCTAGTAATATTTGTCAAAGGCCTTTAAAAAGGATGACTGTTTCAAATCAGAGCTCACTTGAATAGTTAGTCAGCAATGAAAAGATCATTTTAAAGATAGTTAAACTTAACCCCTAAAGTCACAATTTTCAATTATCATGGCTTATTTGGAGGAAGGAAAATTATTCAATGTGAGTCATTATTTTTATTTTAGTAAGATTTTTTCCCCTTGAATCTAATCAAGTCTCTTAGAAATTATAGCATAAAACACATAAATTAAAAATGGATTAAACTTCATGGTGTTTCACTACTGGATTTTATGATAAGTGTTTCCCATATTATATTCAAATTGGTTTTCTTTCTTTAAGGGATCATTAACATGCTGAGAACCAAATCATGTGGTCATAAACAGTCATTGTGATTGCTACTACATTGTGATTGCTACTAGTTGCTAATGCTGCAAACATAAATTTTTTTTCTAATAAACTTGGAAAAAGGAGACATTGTAATAAACTCAAAGCCAGCTGATGTAACCACTATTATAACATGAACTATAACCAAAAATATCATTTTATATAATACACGTTATATGATGACTTAGTATGTTGCATCTTGTTCAAAGAAACTGAAACAAAATTAATAATCAACCTTGATCTATTCACCTAAGGATTCACTAATGTATTTATGAAAACAGAAAGCAAGAGTATAGCTAAGAGATAATATTTCTAGTCAAATATTTAAAATTCTTTCACATGCTTTTTTATTAATTTTTAAGTGAACTAATATATAATGTATCTGTTCTAAATTTGTAAATGTTAAGATGATAGAAAAAAGTTGCTTTTGTCCAACTTTTTTCTTAGGCCAAGTTGAAATAATAATTTCACATATTCTAAATATGTCTTACTATCATAGGACAGCAATTATATATATATATATATTTATTTATACATGTATAAAAACACAGGCACACATATGTATTTTGTGCCACCAATTCAACATGAATTTGTACGCTGCAAAATTACATAGTTCCTTAATTATTTCATATATCCTTTAACCAATGATATTAAAAAACTGACATTCACTTAGTAGTCACCCTCCACCAAGCTCTATTCAACATTTTGAGTGTGTAGGAGGGTGGTTACACTCACAGAAATCTTATGAGGTAGATTTTAGTCTCACTATTTTTCTAATTTTATAGAACTAAAAACTGAGATACAGAAAGGTTGGTTGACTTGCCAAGTATTTCACAGCAAGTGAGTGGCAGAACTAAACTCCAAATCCAGTCCGTATGAATATAGCCAAACTGTCTTTCTTATCAAGCTAATTGAAGAGTAGTAACTTTCTTTGTTCTCTATATCAGTTAGTTGATTAATAAGGCTTTTGAATGATGTGTGGAAAACTTGAATTTGGGGTCCCTTTATCAATCTCCTCCTTTTCTGAATCTCTTGCAAGCAATCTTCTGACCACTACTTTGAATTTCTGAGAATGACATTCTCTAGATACTTGAAGCAATATTACAGTTTTCAATAAACTTCTAATAAACATCTCAATCTAATAATTATTTGAAAAATAGTAGAATGCATAAATTAAAATATATTATATAAGAAATTTGTGGTTATCTTCAGAAGAAAAATATAAACTCATGTGAAATGCCTAAACTCATATAATTGGTTGGAAGTGTGTCACCAATTTTGCTTGCTTCCTAAGTAGAAAATCAAACATAATTAATATATAAGAGTCTCATAGTCACTAGGATGAACAAAAACACAGAGTGATCAGAAGAGAGTTGTCTTCTACTGGAACTGAATGATTTTTTCCAGTACCTCATGAATAGCAAAGAATGAACACGGTAGAATAAGTACAATAAAAATAGCAATTTTTATTTAATTATCACAAAGTTAGTTACTGCATAACTTTTAAATATATTTCCATTAAATCTATCCTACAAAGGAAGAAAGTCATAGCTTTCAATTTTCAATTCTGTAATTATAAGATAAAATGTAAACTCTTTTGAGCAATTATTCCCGTAATATGAAATTTTTACTTTTGAGAAGAATTGATCGCTGAGGTGTTAGAGTTCTGAAATTTCTCTGAAGAATCTGAGGAGGAGATAGTTTTTAGTGTTAACAAGGAGGAAATAATGCAGGAGGACTGATGTCCTTTTATGGAAATAAACACATGGAAAAAAACGCAACTATCGCCAATGTCTGGTTGCTGCTACCTCTCACATGAATTTGGGCCAATGGAATAATTGTGGGAAAGAAGAAAAGATACTGAGGAAACAGTTGTTTATCAAATCCAACACAAAGAAAAATGAATATATTTATGTACGAAAGCATAAATAAAATAATTTTGTCTAGACATTTTTAAAAACAATGTGCTAAAAAATTACCAACCATGGAAAAACACCTTTTTTTTTTTTTTTTTGGAGATGAAGTCTGGCTCTGTCGCCCAGGCTAGAGTGCGGTGGTGCAATCGGCTCACTGCAAGCTCTGCCCTCCCGGGTTCACACCTTTCTCCTGCCTCAGCCTCCGAAGTAGCTGGAACTACAGGCGCCCGCCACCACACCTGACCAATTTTTTGTATTTTTAGTAGAGACGGGTTTTCACCGTGTTAGCCAGGATGGTTTCAATCTCCTGACCTCGTGATCCGCCCGCCTTGGCCTCCCGAAGTGCTGGGATTACAGGCGTGAGTCACCGCGCCCCGCTGCAAAAACACTTTTTATTCATCCATTGTATACTATAGAATTCAACGGGGTAGAATTTTAAAAATATTTTTTATTTTTTTAGGTTTGGGTGAAAATTGATAAAAGATTATCTGATCAACTTATAGCTTAATATGTAAGTTTAGTGTCCTGACCAGCAAAGATTAAACTCTGTTTTTGGAACTGCTATAAAATAGTGACATACTAACAAAATACTTTTCCTTGCAATCTTAGCTGAATAACCTCCTGACCTGTTTCTCTGAACTTTCTGTATTTGTCCTTTCTAAACCATTTACCAGAAAGTTGGGAAAATATACCCTCTATACACAGCACGGTTGAATAGTAATTCTTAATAGAAAAGTGTAGCTGCATGTCTTAGGAAAAATGGAAAGAAAGGGTAGCCAAAAAGACAAAGGTCAAGGTTTAAAGTTATCTAATTTTTAAAGAAGTTAAAAAGGTGAATCATTATGAGACAGAAGTATTTCTAAAATATATCAAATCGTAATAAGAAATAGGCTTTAGAAAATGTGAATAAAGTAGGCAAAAATCAGTTAATTTAAACTTTTGAATTAATAGAGTTGAGTGTCTCCTATATAAAATATATTCTTTAAATTTTTCACTGAAGATAATCCCGCCTTTTATAAGATGAGAGTTCATGAGGGAAAGAGTCAAGTGAACAAATTATTTTGATGTAATGAAGTAAGTAATATTCCAGAAGTATTTACCAAACTCTACTTCATACCTATACAAAGTACATACAATCCACCAGAAGGAGATGGTGTTTGAAGTTAGTACAGTAAATAGTATCCACATAAAGAGGATCCAAATCTGGCCCACAAGCGTGTTCCATTCCTTTATTTTACAAATGAATAAAATGAAGAACAAAAATGTGATTGTTTTCTCCACGGTCATACATTCAGTTAGAGAAATAATCAAGACTAAAACCCGGATTATCTATCACGTCTGGTTCTGTTTCCTTCCATCCTTTTAATAGTTGAAAATAATTCACTATAACTGTGTTTTTATCAGCATAATCTTTTAGGAATTTTGACTGAAAAGATTTTTTTTTTTTAAGTCAGAGAAGGTTGTCTGATCCCATTGACCCTTTCTTTGATTGATGAAGCTAATTCAATCATACATTTCAAAATAATTTTGTTTGCAGACACAACGTTAAAGTGTTATCTAAGGATTAAGGAACTTTCTCACGCAATGCTTCCTAAAGTATTTGTCGCAGTCTTGTCTTTTCCTTGCATGTCACAGACCAGTTCTTTGGTAAAACACAATTAAAAGGAGTTAGTAGGAGTTTTACTTCCTCCATGACAGTGTGAGGAGCTCTGTGGACCAACTGAACAGTGAAACTGATGAAAATTAAAAACATAAAACCATTTAGAAATTCTCAAAATAGTTATAAGAACATAAATCACATAAATATTTATTCAAGAACATCCATTAAAATTTGCAAAGAACTCTGAGAATCTGTGCTATTTGCACCATGACACATGTCTTCTTTTCCCACTTCCAGCTCAATGAGATAAAAATTCCACTCTGGTTTGGTACGGCCAAAAACACTGGGGTCCTTTTCTCCTAAGCTCCCAGTCAGAGGGCTATCTTTCTGGAAGGAGCAGATAATAAGCATAAGCCCATCTATCCATTGCTAATGCTATATTCTGGGTAATTAATGGTTAAGACATGAGAGTTCCTTCTTCTCTGCCTGGCCCCTACTCATGCAGTAGAGGCTTACCTTAGATGCAATGCTGTGGGAACAGTCTTGCTGGAGCTCATGAAGCAGGGATTCCATGCCAAGAAAAGTAAGCCAAAAAAAACCTGATCATTCCCCGTCTCCATCAAGTGCTTAGCTTCCAAAGGCTTTTCACTTAGAGTTAAGTACACAACTAATAAGGGAGGGGGGCAGGGAAGCACTTGGTAGAGAAGTGCGGGGTCCTTGGCGAGGGCTCCACCCTCGGGCCTCTGCCTGCAGACCTAAGTAAGAACAGGCACTCCTGTTTTGGTGCCCAAATGTTGCATTTTCCAAGATCACTCTGGCTTGACACTCCCCCCCATTCTGTGCCCATATAAACCCGAGACCTTAGTGGGAACATATACAAGCGACTGAACGTCGAGACCAGCAGACCAGCAGACCTGTGGACCCGCAGACCAGCGACGGTGGAACAACACGACAGCGAAAGAGAGAAGAGGAGGGATATCTGGATGCCGAGGGGAGTTCTGCCAGGGGGGCGGTTGGAGAGGAGTCCCGCCGCTGGGCAGTCAGACTGCAGGAAAAGACCACATTCCTACTCCATGCCCGCCTCTGGCTCCCCATTCATTTTACTGAGAGCCACCTCCACCACTCAATAAAACCTTGCACTCATCCTTCGGGCTGGCGTGTGATCGAATTCTTTTGGGACACTGAGCACGAGTCCGGGAGTCCGGGATACAGAAGGCTGTCACACTGGCCCCTCCCACTGACACACAAGCCATCTGCAGATAGCAAATCTAAAAGAGCTTTGTAAGGCACACCCACTAGGGCTTTGGGAGTTGCAGACACCCACCCTTAGATAGTGCCATGGGGCTGGAGCCCAAAAGTGCTCACACAGGCTTCTGCACCTGCCCTTCTGCAGAACTGAGTTGCAGCGTACTGGAACGAGTGAGCCACACCCCTATTGAGGTCCTGCGAGGGGAATAAAGGAACTCTCCCGTTTCACCACTGTCCCCATGTATAGCACTAAAGCTGTGGCTCAGATATTTTATTGGATGGGAGAAAGTGAGGGGACCCAGAGAGTTCCAAACATCTCTCACAGGAACTGACTTCATTTGCAACAGAGTATGAAGAAGTTCAAACCTAAGAATATTGACACAGTGAAAGTTGTGGTAAAAGAAAGTTGATAAAGGATTGATAGATTAATTGAAAATACATACTAAACTGTAGTCCAGCCACAGACTGGGAGAAAAGAAATTGCAAAAGACACATCTGATGAAAGGTCATCATTCAAAATACACAAAGAACTCTTAAAATGCAACAAGAAAACAACCTGATTAAAAATTGGGCAAAAGACCTGAAAGATACAATGCCACAGAAAATTATAGATGACAAGTAAGCATATGAAAAAAATGTTCAACATATATGTTGTTAGAGAACTGTAAATTTAAACAATGAGATATTGCTCCACATCTGTTAGAATGGCCAGAACATTGACAACACCAAATACTGTTAAGGACGGGGAACAACAAGAATTCTCATATGTTTAGTGGGAATGAAAACTACTACAGCCATTTTTGAAGATAGTTTGGCAGCTTTCTTACAAAACTAAACCGACTACTACCACACAATCTAGCAATCATGCCTCTTGTTATTTACCCAAAGGAGTGAAAACTTATGTCCACACAAAAACCTGTGCATGGATGTTTATAGCAGATTTATTCTTAATCACCAAAATTTGGAGGCACCAAGATGTCTTTGACTAGGTGAACAGATAAATAAACAGTGGTCTATCTAGACAACAGAATGTTATTCAGTTTTAAGAAGAAATTAGCCATCTAGCCATATAAAGACATGGAGAAAACTTAATTGCATATTACTAAGTAAAAACAAAGCCAATGCCAATCCAAAAAAGCTACCTACTATATCATTCCAACCATATGACATTCTGGAAAAGATAAAGCTATGGATTTAGCAGGAAAAAAAAAAGACCAGTGATTGCTGGAAATTAGAGGAGAGGGAAGAACATAGGAAAACAGAGGATTTTTAGAGCAAAAAAACTATTATTTATGACACTACAATGCTGGATACATGTCAATATACATTTGTCCAAACCCATAAAATGTACAACACAAAAAGTAACTCTAAAGTAAGCAAAAACTGTAAACTTTAGGTGATAATGATATGTCAATGTCGGTTCCTCAATTGTTATGAAGGTACCACTCTGTTATGGGATGCTAATAGTGGAGAATATCGTGCATGGGTACAGACATGGAGTATATGAGAACTCTGGGCATTCTCAGCTCAATTTTGCTGTGAACCTAAAACTTCCCTAAAAATGGAAATGTATTATTTTAAAACTAACAAAAGAACATGCTCAAAATGAAAACTTAAGTCCACAGAAATAAAGATACATTAAATTATAAATAAGATTAACAACAAAAATCTTTCAATATGTACTTTCCTTCTCTCAGCTTCTTTAAAACACATAAAATATATAAAGTCATAATTATGACAAAGAATCACTGATTTTTTAAAAATCCATAAATGTAATATGCATAACAGTAATACTACAAAAGGGAGGAAAGGGAATGGAAATCTATGGAATAATGTTTTATATCATACTAGAATTAAGTTAGTGTAACTCTAAAGCTTCATCTGATAAGTTAAGATGTATATGGTAAATCCTAGAACAACCACTAATAACCCAAAAATAGTAAAAAAATAAAATAAATAAACTAAACTTCTACCTTAGGAAATAATGCAAAATAAAGCATTTAAGAAGAAATACAGGGAAAAAGCCATGAGACATATAGAAAACAGACAATGAATATGTAGCATATGTAAATTCAAATATATCAATAGTAACACTAAATATAAATTGATTAAGCAATCCAATGAAAAGCCAGAGATTGTCAGACTGAACTAAAACACAAGATTCAATTGCATGCCATCTATAGCTGACATACTTAGGATTCAAAGATACAAGTAGATTGAAAGTAAAAGTAAAAGAAAAAAAGTGGAGTAGCTATAATAATATCAGACAAAATAGACTTCAAAACAACAAATATTATCAGAGATAATGAGAAACATTTTATAGTGATAAAATAATCGATCCATCAGGAAGATACAACATCTAACCAGATTAACAAAAAAAACCTCAAACTAAGTGTCTAATTGCCTCCATTTATATTGAATTCATCATGTCTGGCATTCAACAAAAAATTACAAGATATGCTCAAAGGCAAGAGAAAACAGTGTGAAAAGACAAAGCAAAACTCAATGAAATTGTATTAAAATATATGAAAGAATAATCCATCATAACCAAGAAGGTTTTATAACAGAAATTCAAAGTTATTTTAACATTAGACAATAAATCAGAGTATGTGTGTCTTAGTTTTTGTTGCTATAAAGAAATACCTGAGGATGGGTAATTTATAAAGAAGTCAAAATTTATTTTGGCTCCTAGTTGTGCAGGCTACACAGGAGGCATGGCGTCAGACTCTGCTCCTCGTAAGGGCCTCAGAAAGCTTCCAACCATGGTGAAAGGTGTGGGGAGCAGGTGTGTCACATGACTGGTGAGAGCAGGAGCAACAGAGTGAAGGAGGAAAGCCCAAGCTCTTTTAAACAATCAGATCCTATGCAAACTGAGCAAGAACTCACTCTTCACTAAGAGGTTGGCACTAAGCCATTCATGAGGGATCCACCCCCATGATCTAATACCTCCAACTAGACCCCACCTCCAACATTGGGGATCACATTTCAATATGAGATTTGGAGAGAACACACATCCAAACTGTATTAATGGAACTCACCATAATAACAAAACAAGGAAATATAAATAATCATTTAAATAGAGGCAGAAAGGAAATACTTAAAAACTTCAATTCTCAGCAAACTAGAAATAATAGGAAACTTGATCAAACTGATAAATTCGTAAAAATGTGCTTAAGTCATACTTGATGAAAGACTGAATTTTTTACTTTGGATATTAGGAAAAAGGCAACTCTCTTTCAAATATTATAAAACATTACTAAGAAAGGCGAAAAGCCATTCACCTCAGCAGGTGAATGGACAGCTTGTAATGCATTTGTGCAATGGAATATACTATTTAGCAACAAAAGGGAACAACCTATCGATACATCCGTGATATAAATTAATATCAAAATAAATATGTGTGCTGAAAGAAGCCAACAAAAAAACTCTATAATTACATATATGTATGTATATGTATTCATATATAGACCTACATACTTACACACATATACATATGTAAACACACATACACACAGATACACATACACACACATTCTAGAAAATGCAGGCTATAGTGACAGAAACCAGATCACTGAGTGCCTGGAATGGAGTAAAATTGGATTACAGGAAGATATGCAGAAACATTGTTGGGGGAAGGAGCTGTTCATTTCCTTAGTTCTAATGATAGTTTCGCAGTTGTCTACTGTGTTAAACTAGTCCAAGTTTTTAATTTATAGGCAATTTATTGTATTTCAGTTATAACTCATTAAAATGGAAAAAATAAAGATATAATTACCTACAGAATGTATTATATTTACCGGTAATAGCAACTATTTAGAAAAATAGTCCATAATAATAAAAAGTTATAGTACATAAAAAGTCATGGATTAGAGGGTTATAAATTATTTATAATTTTATTGTAAAAATTGGACAATCTACATGTTTCCTCTGTAATTGCCTGAATAAAAATGTTTAAATAAAATTAATTTATAGGAAAATAGTATGTAAAAAGAGCTTGGTTAAATAATTTTAATATCCTTTTATATGATATTTCTAATTTAAAAAAATAAACTTTAACTAGCGGCAACATAAGGCTGTTGTGATGGGTAAAAGGTAAATTTGGCTAATTTTATATGACAATGTGATTCAACTGAGAATCAGACTTTCACTAACACATTTGTATAAGATATTATATAGTAAAATAATGTAGAATTAAAATTGAAATAAATCAGAATAAAGATATAGTGCAAAGCTGCCCAGGGGTGATCTGATTGTCTAGAAATAGAGTAATTCTAATAAATGGAGAGAAGTCACTATAGAGAATATGAGAACAGATTCCTAATTGGCTAAGGATGTTTAAATCTGGGAAAAGGCAATCAAGAGTAAAATCGCTGGAGTGGGGATATCTAAAGAGAATATAATTAAAATCCAGGTAAAAAGAAATGGTTATCAAATGTGGGTAGTGGCAGCAAACACAGAAAAAGAATGTACCCATATACAAGAGAAAGTATAGAAAATAAAATGTGCATACTCCACATGGGTAAATATTTTAAAGGGTATTTAAAGTTTGACTTCACCCATAATATTTTTTAAATGTATTGACCAATAATAAGATTACAGTTATCTTTAAACGTTTATTTCTTTCCAGGCTTAAGTAATGGATTTATCAGAAGTTTTATTTTCTGTCGGGTTCATAGAAAGAATAATGGAAAGAGAGATGACTTCTTGTAATTCAAACCCTAAAATATTTGCTTATTTGTAACAAAGCATTTCCAATTCTCAGAAAAGAAAGAATGCAGTTTTTTTTGCTCAAAGAAAATTATTAATGCTAAAATTTATGAAAACAGTAGTAGAAACTAAAATATAATTAATCTATGAAGCTCTATAGAATATGAATTTAAAATAAACTTCAAGTTATCCTGATTTTTAAATGTTCATTTTCAAACAATTCTGTTATTATAATAGAATTAGAACTCTTTCAAATTAATTGTAATTTTATATTAATATCTTTGTGGTTTATATGCAGTGTTTTCATGCAACTTTATTTGCTGGGAATAAACTATTATGTAAATGTGTTCCAGTCCAGATTGAAATACATGTTTGATTTGGAAAGTAATTAAATCTTACACCGAATTTAAACTGGATATGTTATTTTTAGACTTTCTTATTATAACACCCTACATAAACACATCTGACTGATTTTTAAAATGATGGTCAAAATGATAAAAGTTTGATGCTTCTGTTTATAATATTTCTGGAAAGTGCATGCTGTAAGTCCTATTTAATTATAGATAAAAGTTTCCATTTAGGTAAACATTTATTTAATATAATAGAAACCTGACCTTTCAATAATAATTCAAGTCTGAATAGCAACAACAAAAAAAGATTTAGAAAGCAAGATCTTATTTTTAGAAAACTTCTTTCCATTGTATCTTTATATGAGTTGATTTCAAAGGTATCTCTGAATACCTGAACACTATGATTTTGTCCATAATTTCTGTCGTAATTATTGTCTATTGGCCTTACCTAATTACTTCTGAAAAGAAATGCTATAACCTAGTAAGTGAAATGTAAAAATAACCAAAACCCTGGATAACCCCCTACGACAATCTAGTTTGTAAATATGGCATTGATTCAGCTCTCTATTAGTTCCTTTAGGAGGAAATAAACATTTTTGAGGAGAGTATATCAGATGTTCACAGAAGCATGAAAATTAGGGAAGAAGTGCCATTGTAAAAGAAGGCTTTCGTAAATTATATATATAAGCATGTGTGTGTTTTTTAAAGCTTTTTACAACTAGATTTTGCTTTACTGATATTATTCTCTTCTTTATAGTCCCAGAATATGAGTCTAAAACAGGGCTTAAATTTGAAGGCTCCTGAAGAACAAAAGCCAACATTTATACTATTCTTTTTCCTGTGTGTTCTAGAGCTGTATGTAATACAACCAGGTTTGTTTTGTTTTGTTTTGTTTTGTTTTTGAGGCAGATTTTCGCTCTTGTTTCCCAGGCTGGAGTGCAGTGGCGCGATCTCGGCTCACTGCAACCTCTGCCTCCCAGATACAAGGGATTCTCCTGTCTTAGCCTCCCAAGTAGGTGGGATTACAGGCATGTGCCACCACGCCCGGCTAATTTTTTTTTTTTTTTTTTTTTTTTGTATTTAGTAGAGACATGGTTTCATCATGTTAGTCAAGCTGCCGGCGAACTCCTGACCTCAGGTGATCCACCCGCCTCAGCCTCCCAAAATGCTGGGATTACAAATAGTTGCCTTATGATTGTGATTACTCCTTAAATGTTTCAGAGAAAGTTTTTAGTTGTAAAGTTCTAGTTACTTTAAGACATATCAGCATAATTTTCTAGCAATTTAATTTAACATAAGAAGCGATGACAGTCTGCATTTCTTGGAATTTAAATTATGTTTCATCTACAAACAACAAGACTCTAAATCTGAGTCTGTTCAATTAGTGTTAATGTGATATAATGACAAAATTAGTTCAGAGGATTTTAGACATAAATCATGCTAGAAGTTTCACACTTTAGAGTACCAATTCATTCTTTGCATCCACTTTTAAAGCAAATACAAGCAAAACCCTTCTCTCAGTAACTGAATACTAACTCAGGTCAAATGTGTGTTTCATGACATGAACAATAATTAGTAATGTAACCAGTGAAGTTATTTTTGTTCATGCTTAATCATCCATTTCCAGAGTGCTGATAATCAAATGGAGTACAAGGTGAAAACACTTTGCTTTAAAAGTTAACTATGACAATAAACTACCTGCAATCGAATTTGTGGAAAGAAAAAAATAAAGTTGGTTAAAACTTTATTTTTAAGGAGTCATTAATTTAATGTAATGATATGAAATTTTGCCTCAGGAATTAACATACATATATATAAAGTGTATATTTTGTGCTCTTTCATTATCTTACTGAAAATCATAATGTGAAAACTCATTAAGTCTCCAATCCTAATAACATCACTGCCATTTGTTCATATTTATGGCTTTTCTGGCCTAATTTTCTTACCTATTCAGATATCGCTACATGAGCCATCACATTATTTTCTCTCTGTCCTTCACCTGAACTCTCTTTCCATCTTGTCTTTCCAACATCATTCTGCAAAACAACCACAATGACAACCAATCTAACCCATAAACTTTCCAACCGTTTCCCAAAAGTGTTGAGGAAAAAAATTCACAGAACTGTATGAATTAACTACCATTCCTTGATCTACATTCTAGCTGGGTCCTTAATATAGCCTATAAATCATTTTATACCTGATGACGCTCTTTCATTTTCCTCAATTTTAACTCTTAAGTTCATCGCCGTTTTTATAATGCCTATATTCCCTTAATTCTAACAGGACAAATTTATCTTGGATATCATTGGAATAGCTAGGATCCATCTAATAAGAACTCTCACAACTTCCTCCCTCACCACGTCTAAATGTATTTGTATCACTACGTTTAGGTTTATAATTATATATGCCTTCTTTTTGTATTGTTTCAAGATCAGGATAATACCTGCTAGCCTGCCTGTTTTTTTCTTTTTTCTTTTTTCTGCTTGTTTCTGCAGGAGGAGGGAAAGTTGTTGGAGTTTTATTTAGAAATCAAATTAAAGAATATCTTGCATAGAGAAGTATTAAATATGAAATAAAATATATGAAAAATCAAGAGTCTGAGCTTTTAAGCATTCCATACAAGAATTTTAATACCAAAAACACTATGTGAACTATGTGAGCATGGTTCTAGTTAGCTCCTTATCCCCCATAAGATCAGAGGACATAAATATACTAATGGAAACGGGGTATAGAGAGGTAAAGTAGGCAAGGTGTCAATGTGTTAGATTCATCCATCTCTTAACTCCCCCAATAGTTTTGTGTATTTAATAGGTAGAAATAAGATTTTTGCATTTGTAGATTATTTTAACTTCTGGTAACAGGCTAAGTTATCAAAAGTCTTTCCACTAAAAAAGGTAAAAATGCTGAGAAAAATATTTTTTAAAAACTCCTCAAATGTTTTCCAGTAACTGGAAAAATAAAAATAAGAAGACCTACCAAATCAAAGTAACGAAATCAAACCAAAAAGCAGGAATCCAGAGCAGTAAGACAAACACATGCTAAAGTTTATTTTAACTTGAAAGTATTTGTTGATACAGGTAAATTTGAGATTTAATTTTGAAGGCTTCATGTGGTATAACTGCCGAAGTCAAAGTTAAGGGTCTAGGGGTCAGAGTCAAAGAGAAGACCTCCCTAGAAAACTGTTGCAGTAAAAAGCTATAACTTCAGGATAATGATAAACAGGAAATGAACTATCCCTAACCCACTTATCCCCCAGAAGAATACAAATACATTTGTCTCAACCCTGACACAAGCAAATGGATAAAAAAAAAATTCCTGAGTTGTAACCATGTGTCAGCTATCTTATGGATTTTTAACACTACCTGAGTTAAACTTTGAATGTAATTATTTTATTAACATTTAATTTGATTTTCTCTAAATTATACTTTATTGTTTACATGCACACTGTTCACGTATTTAGTTTTTCTAAGTTTTTTTGTTTTTGCCCTTTATTTGTTACTGTTTTTATTTGTCACCAGCGTTTTGAGGGTATTTCTATTTTGCCACAAGATTTTAGTATTGGGGATGAGAAGCCTGATGCCAGTATGACTGATTCCTGTATGGACGATC
This sequence comes from Homo sapiens, assembly GCF_000001405.40. Lineage (NCBI taxonomy): Eukaryota > Metazoa > Chordata > Mammalia > Primates > Hominidae > Homo > Homo sapiens. The sequence goes on from NC_000006.12 coordinate 103,341,480, forward strand.
TTTGACTTTTTCCTAATGAAAATTATGTGAACTTTACTTTATCCTGTGGTTTTCTGAAATTTTATTTTATTATTTATTTTATTTATTTTCTCACACTGTCAGCCAGGCTGGAGTGCGGTGGTGATCCTGCAGTCTCCACCTCCACTGCTTAGGTGATCTTCCTGCCCCAGCCTCCCAAGTAATTGGGACCAAAGGTCCACACCAACACGTTTGGTTGATTGTTTATTATTATTTGTGGAGACGTGGTCTCACTATGTTGCCCAGGCTGGTCATCTCCTGGGCTCAAGCGATGCTTCTGCCTCGACCTCCCAAAGTGCTGGTTTACAAGAAAGAGCCATGCTGTCCAGCTGAAATTGTATTAAATTGTGTCTGTGTAGGTCTTTCTTTACATTGTTTGCTGGGTGCTTGAAGGTCCTGTTACATATGAAGATGGGTCTTTCTGATGTGACTCTCATCTATAATAATGATTATATATACATATATATGTATATATATACACGCACACATATCCATATGACTCACACATATAATCCATAATATTATAGATGTGGTTCTCATCTATAATAATGCATGATCTATTATTTCTATGATGATGCATTTCTTCATTTACACTTTTGTTTTGTTTTCTAGAATTGTTAATGTATATATAATAGGTTTCCTGGAATATATTATCTATGATTATCATCATTTTATCAGGTTTCCAGTTCAGTGATACATGTTCTAATTTTTGAGAGTTTTTACCAGTATTATGTTATGATCCTGTCAATTTCAGGAACTATATTTTTTCATGTTTTTTACTAAAGTCCATAGTTTTTCAGAGTTCCTTAGTCTTCATATAATGAATGTTTTCTGTTCCAATATCCTAGCCAGGATACCACGTTATATTTCATCATCATGTCACTTCAAGCTCCTCTTGGTTGTAACAATTTATCTGGCTTTCCTTATTTTTGATAAGCTTGGTAGTTTTGTGGCATATTTTTCCAATGTTTATAAAATATACTTCAGTAGTATTTATCTGATTGTTTTTCATGATTAGACTGAGGTTATGTGTTTTAGGGAGGAAGATCAGGAAGATCACTGAGGTAAAGTGCTCTTCATCTCTTACTATCAAGAGAACAAACTATAGACATGACATCACCATTGATGTTAACCCTGATTATTTGGATATTTATTTGATTATTATTTGATTATTTGGCTGTTGGTGAGGGTTCTCCACTGTAAAGCTACTTGATCTCTCCAAGTACTATACTCATTGAAAATAAGTCACTATTCACAGCCCACACTAACTAGTGGGGAATTACATTTCTTCTACTATAAGATGGAATAGCTACATAAATTATCTGGGATTCTTCTGCATGGGAGACATGTCTACTCTCCCTGATGCATGTGTGTATGTATGCATATATGGCTACATGAATGTATGCAATCATTTATTTGCATCACTATAATATTATAATGTTGCTTTTGTCTTTTAAATATTAAAAGAGCTGCTATAAACGTGTGTGAAGGATTTTGTGTGGATGTAACATTTCAAGTCAGTTCAGTAATAACCTAGGAAATCGAAGTAATGATGAGATACCCAAGTAAAGATGCCACTCATCAGACAGATACTTGTCACAACATTTCAAAAATTTGACTAGGTCTAAAAGTAGTTCCAGAGGCAATATTTGAAGATCTTTAAGTGAAAGGACTTAGGAAACCAAAAAGCCAAGAGTTGTCTTTAATAAATTCAAAATTAAAATATGTAAAAAAATAGTTATGGAACTGGGAGGGAAGTAAGAGTAATTATAGAAAGGGGCATTTTCAGAAAATGAAGGAAACAGAGAACAGATGAACTTATTTTCATTCTATTGCTTCTTTCTTATAGAAAATATATATAGGATTGTTTTAATTCCCTCTTTATGCCAATGATAAAACTGAACTTTAGGGTTAAATAACTTGCCCCTACTCATACCAGTGAATGAAAAAAAGCAGATCTGTACTTACTCAAGGCATTTGTTTTATCCACTAAAACTCACTGTCTTTCTGTAATGTATAGGAAGAGTTTCAAGAAGTATGCATATCAGTTATTGACTTTTCAAAACTCTTGGTTTTTACATTTTTTCTAATATGCCCAGACATGAAGCAATTAAAGATCATCAGGACAAATAAATGCAGTGATTACGGGTAACACCAATTATTGTAGTTAACAATTTTAAAGGTTCTAGATTGTGCTACTACTTTTTATATGTACAATCAACATTTAAAACTATAAATTTCAGTATTTTTATTTTATGGTTTGAGTTTAAATATGTTATCATAAATCATAAACTGATATTAAATAATAAGCACAATGTTTATGTTTTCCCTTTGTGTTTAAGCGTTTATCAATCATTGAATATGAAGTGCTGTTATAGAAACATTTTGCTCATAAACAGGCATATAATTGTCAGGAAATACCATCTATAATTGTGTAGTTTACTGTTTAGTGAAAGGTCGGTTGGGATTTTATTTCAATTGCCATTGTTTAATGATTTAATTTACACAAGGATAAAACTTGATGTTCTAATTCTTCAGGCTACTATTGTCATATTTACTGACTTTAATTTACCTCGATCACATTCTAGACAAAGAATAGAAAGTACTACGGCATGCAATACCTTATTCATCATAAGTTATTTAAATGTCTGGCTCACAACATGAAGATGGTAAATCATTTAAAATAATGCAACTAGTTCCTTCACACAATATAGAAAACAAGCAGAACTGTATGGACATTATGGCAGATGAAAAGGAATAAGATAGAGAGTCTGAAAGAAAAAAAAAGAGAAATAAAGTTTTTTTAAAAAAGTAGGAAAAAGAAAGATCACCACCTATGTAACCTTTAATAGCAGTATGGGGTAAAACTGAGAATGATGGCTTTCTCATTTCCCTCCAGTATAATCTCCCTATTTAAAGTTCACTCTGCTTCATGTGAATAATGTATGTGGGCTGACATTCCAGGATAGGAAGAAATAACATGAAACATAGTTTAATAGCTTTAAGTGAACAATACTATTTCCTAATATATTAAAGAAGGGGAAGTGGAGTTCGTCAAATCTAGCCAGAGTAATTATTAAGCTTTTTAAAATATCAGTACTTAGACTAAGCAGAGCCAATATTTTGCTATTGTATTTAAATATAAAAAAGACATGAAATATTTGTCTTTAAATGTCTTTTTTTTCTGCTTTATTTTTTATCAAAGTGCTTAAGTCTAGGTTTAATACATGTGGCAAAAATTGCCTCACTTATAGAAACTCTGTGCTCTAGATGAAATTAATGATTAACAACACAGGAATGAAAAAAGGCCACAGAATTGTTTCTAATGTTAAAGACTGTTAGAAAAGTAGTGCTATAACATCTCATGTATCAAGCACTGTAAAACAATAGGAATAGTTAACAAAGATAAATTTTGAAAATAACTGAAGCATCCAAGTTAATTTAAATTACCATTTCAACACACGCTATTTTACACGTCTTAATACTTCACTTTATATTGCATTTTGCTCTTAGGTTCTTGTACCTTGTACTTCCTCAAATTATCAGCTAGTGTCAACAACTGAATTTCCACATATATTTCAAAGCCAGCTTTCCTATTTCTACTAAAATCCTGCTGCCATTTTTACTCTGATAGCATTTAATCTTTATATACATTTGGAGAAAATTGACTTCTAATTCATGAAAATATAAATGCATCCACTTATTTAGGTAATTCAGTATTTCTAACTATAATATTCCATTGTTTCCTGTGTAGACCTGCCTTTTATAGCTTTCATTTGATAAGTTTTGTATATCACCTTCTTAAAGTTATCATTTAAAAAAACCTTATGGTGAGATTACATGAAGCTTACAGATGTTAAGTGATTCCTTATCTACATATAGATGCTTATGGCACATAGCCAGTGTGAACATTTTGTTTTCTTTCTATTTAAAATTTTATTATTTAATATTTGAACAAAAGGAATAGATCTTTTAGGTATGTGTAAATACGAGGCATATTAATAAAATAAACCCATCTCCCAACCAGTATGAACTTCTTACAGTGCCATCTCTTTCCTTCTATCCTACCAAAAAGGCTATTCTTAAATGGTTATATATCCAGGAATCACATAAACTAGGGCCACCCTGATGAAATAGATATTTAAAATAGATTATTAAAAACAAGAGATCTTGAAAAGAATGTTTAATCCTTGATTTAAACTAGGTTTTTGAGTACATTTTGCTGCATATATATATATATAAGCAGCAATATCATTTTAAAATCATAAATCTGTAATCTTATGATAAATGACTGCTATTTTGCTTTAAAAATTGATATTTTGACAGACTCAAACATTCGTTAATGTTATTAATCTATTTTGTGTTCTTTTTGCATTTTTCTATTTTTTATGAATAAATATTGTTGTCCCTGTATACCTTTGGGCATTACTACCTCTAGTTCTTTCAATGATTCTATTCATATTTCCCACTAGTTTTCTTAATTACATTCAGTGAACAGTACTAAGCTGAATACTTAAAAGAGAACCCCCTCACATGGCCAGAGTTTCCTCTGTTCAGCTTCCTAATTTCTAGTACTTTCCGTGTGAGCTCCAGGCACCTCTTAGCATTGACTCCACTGCTTCTCCTCTGCTCAGGGTTTCCATGGGCTTTGCCTATTTTCCCACACTCTGCAGCATGGCCAGAAGCTCTTTCATAGCAGTAAACTGGAGCAAACTTATGGCTTCTATCAGCTTTTTCCGACTTCTTAGGGATCACGAGTTTTCATTTCTTGATATCTAGTGTCTGGAAAACCATTTTTCTATGTATTTCATCTATTTTGGTTTGGTTCAAGTAGGAGAATAATTTCCAATCCCTGTTAGGTGCATCTTTTACTGAATCTGAACAATTAAGGTTTTTTTTTAATGTTTAAGCCCAATATCTTCCTAAGTAGAAGTAGACTAAAATATGTTGTCTGTTAGAAGGAATGTTTATATTTTATAAAATTTTCATGTCAGATTTTATGAGAATAGTTTACTGTTTTGTGCTGGAAAATTTAGCAATCAATATATGAATTATAATTTTATTGAGTCAAAAAACTATGTTACAAAAAATGTCAAAGTGATAAAGATGTTTATAATGTGAATGGTATTCTTATTTTTTGCTATTCAAAAATAATGATCAAATGATACTCAGGAATAACAGTGAAATAAATATACACACAATTTTATTTAAATTTTTTACATTATTTGAATAACATATTTAAATTTAATTTTTTAATCTTCTTTCTCTTACAAAAACATTTTAACATTCTATTTTGTCTTTGATGAGAAGACATGTGTCTCATGACATTTGACTTGCTTTACTAAACCAAGACTCAAAATTTTTTGTTTTAAACTTTCAATAATTGAATTCTCATTGTTAGAATATTAAAATAAAGCTATATGTGTACTATATATGGAATTTTGTATGTTACCTAGACAGAAGACAAGCAAAATTTTTATGGTTTTTACGAAAAATCATTTCACTGAGCTTATTCAGTTATAATTTAAGTTTTGTTAACCTGAAATTTTAACTAATACTGTCTTTGACATTACAGATTAGTCCAAAATAAAAAGGAGCAAATATTGAGTTAATTAATGAAAGAAATATGAAAAATTCTGACTTTTTTTTTCCAAAGGAGCAAAAGAAAAACTTCAGTCAGTGCCAATTATTCCACAGGTTTTCAATCCACTAATGATTTTTTATCTTAAGATACTACCTTTAACTATGTTTAACATTTGTAATTATCTTGTGAGTGGTAAGGGAAGAAAATAAATTGTTAAGATTTTTTATATTCTAAAACACGTTTCTAAAATGTATTAATAGCACAAGATAATATGCTAATAATTTCATAGACATTATATGACTCAATAGCCACAATATAATGATAGTATTATTGAAATCTGTTAGGACAACAAAATAGGAATAATTCAGAGAAGGGATGGCCTTCCTTGATAACTCTAATCTGTAAGCCAGTAAATTAATTGTGTGAAGGTAGCACTTTAATGAGCTGGCAGTTTCACATGATAAATAAGGAAAGTGGCAATATTACCAAAGTATGAATATTGTGCTAGTTGCCACGTTAGTATTCAAAAAGGTGATTAGAATAGTTGCACTACATGCTGTATTAAATATGCTCTGAATTAAATAAAGGCTCTAATTACATCTTTTGAAATTCTTTAATGGTTTTTAAAAATTTAAACCGTGTTTTAAGTACTTATTGACCTTGATAATTTATTTTCTGACAAGTCATTTAAACCTACTAATGTTTACTTAAACTTAGCATTAAAAGAGTCCCTTTCGGCCAGGTGCCCTGGCTCACGCCTGTAATCCTAGCACTTTGGGAGGCCAGGGGGCGGATCACCTGAGGTCAGGAGTTTGAGACCAGCCTGGCCAACATGGTGAAACCCCGTCTCTACGAAAAATACAAAAGTTAGCCAGGCATGTGGTGCGCGCCTGTAATCTCAGCTACCTGCGAGGCTGAGGCAGGAGAATCGCTGGAACCTGGGAAGTAGAGGCTGCAGTGAGCTGAGATCGCGCCACTGCACTACAGCCTGGGCAACAGCGTGAAACTTCGTCTCAAAAAAATAAAAAATAAATAAAAATGAAAAAAAAGTCCATTTATTATCTGATACCCAAAACCGTGGTCACTCTGGGAATGTGGAAATGTTAACACATTTGGCAAATATATTGATATAATTTGATTACTGCCCAAGGCACAAAACAGAAACAGCCCAAGAGGTGCAAGATACAGGAGAAATGGATCATAATTAGAAGAGAAGCCGCTGAAAATCAGGGTGATGTCATCCAAGCAGAGAAAAAGAATAGAATAAAGATGGGTAGTGAGTAAAAAAGGAGAGTGGCAGCTGGTGAGAGAGCAAGCACCAGAAATAAAGAAATAACTACAGTTAATCCCTTGAGTAAGAATAATATCCAAATATGAAAAAAAAACTTGATAAGTGAATATGTTCTAACTAATATTGTGAAATGGAAATCAAAAACATCTGATAAATTATTTATATGGTAAAATGTTATAGTAAAGTGCTATGGTGGAAAGGAATAACAATACTTTTTAAGACACTGTTACAGTGAAAGAAACCTAATATATATTTTTTTTAAATAAAGCAAACAAGAGGCCGGACGTGGTGGCTCATGTCTGTATTCCTAGTACTTTGGGAGGCCAAGGCAGACGGACTGGTTGAGGTCAGGAGTTCAAGACCAGCCTGGCCAACATGGTGAAACCCTGTCTCTACTAAAAATACAAAAAATTAGCCTAGCATGGTGGCCCACGTCTGTAGAACTAACTACTGAGGAGGCTGAGGCAGGAGAATTGCTTGAACAGGGAGGTGGAGGTTGCAGTGAGCTGAGATACATACATATATATTAAACACATTATGAGAGTTATTCCTACCTAGTTTAGTCCAATGAGAGTAAGATATCTATTGAATATAGAAATTCATTTAAACAATAAGAAAACTGCCTAACCTCCAGAAATTTAAAGAGGAGTGGGTCATATCTAAAATCATTATATTTACATTTATGGTAGCTAAAACCAAATGTGAATACAATTATTAATTACACGTATTTTGACTTTTCTTAGTTCTTATAATTTTCTGTGGATAAGTAAAATTTAATACCACTTTTAGTTCAACAAACTGTATGCTAACTCATAATACTTGAGGGGAGTTTAATGACCAACAGAAATGTGGTCTCATTTAAATACTGATTATATTAATCTTAATACATGCTACACTATCTTATGAAAACTAAATGGGGCTGGGCGCAGTGGTTCTCTTCTGAGAACCAAATTTTCTACTTCAGGACTCCAAATTTTCTATTTTTTTACAGGATTTATACTTTGATATAAACTTTATGAACTCTGGTATTTAACTTTTGAATTACTTAATTTTAGTTGAGTTTATTGTAGTTTAGTTTACTATAAAATTAGAGGAGGTCATACAGAAGAAACAAATTATGTTTTGTTTTTGTTTTTTCTGTATGACCTCCTCTAATTTTATAGATAAACTAAGCTCATTTACACGTATTGAAAAACCAGAACAGATTGTGTCTCAGTTCTGTCATTTTATATTATGATTTATATTTTACACACACAAAGCATTTTAAAACAAGCTCTGTTCTCTTCACCTTTTGAATGTTTTGTATCAGTAGTATTCGTTCTTGTCTAACAGTTCCTTTGCCTACATATCATTATATAGTATACTTAGAACCGTCTTTCTTTAGATACTATTTATGTTGGTTCTCTATACTAAATAATCATAAAATAAGCTTATATTCTTTGTTTTTCTCCATGTCTTCTAGTTATTTGCAACTTGATTTTGTTCATGACATTATTTTTATTTTATGTTTGTGTACTCCTTAGATACACTCAATTAGAATGATTTTTCCATGTAAATCACATCTGATTCCCAGCTTTTACAGAATAGAATCATAAGCTTATTACTCCTTTTGACTTTTCTCCATTTTCTTCTCCTGTTTTTAGATGTATTATTTTCTAAATTGTCAGAATTTATCATTTATATTTTCTTTTTTTCACACTTACCCTCATCAAAGTATTTTAAAAATTACTTATATTCAACGTTATGTCCAATATATTGCTGAAAATGTCATCTTTGGTGGTTTCAGTTTGCCTTTTGCTAGTTTTTGTGAGATCTTGCATATCTACACACTTTATGGTAGAGTGGAAGTAAGATGATAGACAAGTAATACAGATGTTGTTAAGTAAAACTACAGAGTCCTGAATTTAAATTGGATATGTCACCAAAAGAGTCAAACATGTCAATAAATGAGTCAAAATTCCTTTATTGGAAATTTAACTTTTTGTGACATTATTAAATCTAATTTGCTTTTTTTTTTTTTTTTTTTTTTTTTTTGAGGCAGAGTTTCACTCCTGTCACCCAGCCTGGAGTGCAATGGTGTGGTGTCGGCTCACTGTAACATCCACCTCCCGGGTTCAAGCGATTCTCCTGTCTCAGCCTATCCAGTAGCTGGGATTACAGGCGCCACCACCACGTCCGGCTAGTTTTTGTATTTTTAGTACAGATGGGGTTTCACTATGTTGGCCAGGCTGATCTTGAACTCCTGACCTCAGGTGATCCACCTGCCTTGGCCTCCCAAAGTGCTGGGATTACAGGCGTGAGCCACCTCACTCGGGCCCGAATTTGCTTTTTAATGTTATTTTTCTGACAGCTTTTCTTCACATATGGGAAGATTTGAGACTCTCTTGTACATTTTCTTACCTGTTTTCATGATATTTTGTGACTATTTAGAATTATGCAACTGGATTTTTCTTGGCCATGTTTAAACAGAAGATTTCTAGGGGAAGGAGAAGGACCAGGAGAGTTGTATAGGTTTCAATGCTCCAGGGCTCTTCCTGTAATTTCTAAAGGGACAGGCAATTTTATTAAAATATTTTTGCCTCTCAAAACACAATTAGTTAAGGAGTTTCTACAGCCATCTCTGAGCTCCAAAATTTCCTTCGCCCAAAGCTTCTCTTATAAGGCAGAACTCCTGCTTAGTAAATTCTGCCCTCCTTTGTGGGAGGTAGTAGTTTAGTGGGACTTGTATGTGTGTGTGTGTGTGTGTGTGTGTGTGTATGTGTGTATTTCTTAGATTTAGCACGTTTGTGCTTCACACTCTACTCCCACCAGTTAGTTTCTTGCTCTATTTATCTGCTCTCTATTTAAAAGTAGTCAAGATAGAACTTTGTCCTGTTTGCAAATTTGCCCACTCAGAGTGGTTATGGCTGGTAGATTTCTGCCATTGATTGCTAGGCCTTCTCCATTTTCCCAGCTATTCACTGTTGTATGGCCACAGCATTGTCTTCCCATGAATGCTCTGATATTGCCAACTGCTTTACTCCACAGCTTTATGTAATTTGGGGTCTGAAAAGTTTTGCTTTCTACTATTTTATTGAAATGTTTATGTTCTGACATTTTTCTCCTGGTTATTCTTTATGATTTCAAGCATATAAAAAGTGAGAAAATTTGGATCTAAGCTCTAGTAGCCATGTTTTCACTTGTATATGGATGATTTAGTAACAATAACAGAAACTAACAATAGTCCAATGAAAAGTAATGAATGAAAGTAAATTTAAAAGCTTTCAAGAGCAATAAATATATTGGATGGATGAAGATTTGAAGCCCAAATGAAGTTAAAACAATATCTTACGTTTCAAGAAAATTAGCACAACTTAACTTTTATTTCTGTTGAGATATCTTTTACTTTGCCTGAAGACAAGCATTCAGAATTCTATATAGTACCAAGTTAAATTATTGTTGTGGGGATAATTGTTTAATGTTAGTAGCCATTATTAGAAATTTAGCTTTAAGAAAGCAGTGGCTCTTTCTCCCTACCTGCCTCTTTATTTCTCTTTCTTTCTTCATCTCCTTCTTCCTTCCTTTCTTCATTTGTTTTCCTTTTTTTCTTTTTGTTAAATAACATTTCTCCAGCACTAATGTGTTGTTTTAATTGTAAATACATGATGCATAAAAATGTGAAATTTAGTGCAACATCTCACATTTGCAGGATTCCAAGCTATGCACTACTTTTGCAGTCTTTGAATTATGCCTAATTACCTTCCCCACTTCAGGGTCTTTGAACATGCTATTCCTTTTGTTGGAGGTTTTCTGCAAAATATACAAGGTATACTCTTTTTCAGCCTTCAGGCATTCACTTCTGTTACACTTCTCCATAGAGCTATTTACTGACTATTCTTTACAAATACAAATTTCCTGGTCCCTTGTAAGTCTATCCAACACATTATCTCCAAGCTTAGCAGAATGTTTCACACACACTTGGGTGGCCAATATATACTTATTGATTATACTCATCAGCAATAAATCTCATTATTGATGTTGGAAAAATTATTCATAAAGTCACTGGAATTGCAAAAACAAGGCAATCAAATGACAGAAATATACTATAGATGTATAGTTATCTTTAGGTATGCATATTATAAATGGTGTCATGGTAAATTTTGTGTGGATATAACAAAATACCACAGACTGGGTAATTTATATTCAATATAAATTTATTTGGCTCATGGTTCTGGAGGCTGGAAAGTCTAAGTGCATGCACTGGCATCTGGCAAGGACCTTCATGCTGTCATTCCTGGTGGAAGGTGGAAGGGCAAGTGACTCTGTTAGACAGAGTGACAAAAGGGGTTTGAACTTATCCATTTTATAAGGAATCCAATCCCAAGATAACAAATTCACTCCCAATATAGTTAACCCACTCCCCAAATAGCAGCATTAATTCATTCATGGAGGCAGAGCCCTCATGACCTAATCACCTCTTAAGGGTCCTGCCTCCCAACACTGTTACAATGGCAATTACAATTCAACATGAGTTTTGGATGAGACGTTCAAACCATAGGAAATGATAAGATATTGCCATTTTTGGCAATATATGTAGCATTTCTACTTTAATATTTTAATTACTTTTACTGTAGAAATTACTCACAATACATGTCCTGAGTTAAATTTTAGCAAAGTAAAGTGAAGGTTATATACTAGATTTATATATTTCATAAATGTAGTCTTTAGTGTTTTTATATGTGATTTACTAAGAAGAATATGAGTAATGTGAGTAACATCATTACTCACATTATTTAATCAATAAAACACTTAAAAATAAAAGGTAAATGCAAATTCATATTACACTCCACAATTTATTTAGTAATTTATTCAGAGTTTGTAAATTTTTATGGAAAATAACTCAGAAAATAAATAAAAAGAAGCTGATTCAATAAGAAATATTTTCTTTATGAAATAATTTTCTATGTTTTTATTATTATGTAAAATGATTTTAGTAATATCAATTTTAACAAAAAACCAACTTGGAAAAATATATTAAAAGTTATAATAATTGCAAGAATTATTTATAATCTCTAACAGGTTAAATTTAATGCATCATTATGACTTAAAACAGAAATGTTGCTAAGCAGGTAGTTTATCACAAAATATATGCAATAAAGTATCAAAAAAGGAATGCAATTGGGAGGATTAAGCTGAATTTCAGAATAAATTTATTGAGTTTTTGTCCTTAATGTTGTTACCAGCTTCTTTTTTAATGGGACTAGCTCACTGATAATGTGAAAATAAAATGTGAATGATAAATACATGAATCCAGAGATTAAAATCTGCACGTTAGTTCAAATGAAAAAGAATTTCAGCCAAAATGTCCAAGGGACTCTAAATTCCATGATAAAGTAAACAACATGCTTCAGGACTTAAGAAAATAGAAAAATCCTAAGGGTGTAAGCATTCAAGTATTTGGCCCTTTATTCACATGGTCTGCTATTACAATCGGCCAGTAATCTAGGAGTCTGCTCCCAGCCCACTCACATCTAAACCTCTCAGAGGGAAATCCTTTTGTCCCAGATAATGTAAGTGTGTATGGCAGTGGCTAGAAACAAATTCTCTAAAGAAAATTTTTCTTTTGACATTTAGATCATTTCATTATTTCCTTCAGAATGTATTTGTGTGAATGCTATGAAATGATTTACTGTTTTTTTTCTCTATGAATAACCAATTCTAACACTTTGGAATGGTATACTCTTTATTCACTAATTTGGCCTGACAATTTCATCTATATATGTTCTATAGATTATGGGCTTTGTTTCATCACTCTCTATCTAATAGATATAGATATAGATCAATGCCATATTCTCTGATTTACTATAGCATTATAATAAGCCTCAGTATCTGACAGAATAATTTTTCTACACAGTTATTTTTTTCTGAAATTCATTTTTGTTATTATTAATCTTTGCTTTTCCAAATAAGCTTTTAAATAAATTTGTTAATTTTCTTAAAAAATTAGATCAGAGTTACAATTGGAATTGCATAAGCTTATAGCTAAATTTGGAGAATATTTATGAAATAATTTATTCTTAAATACATTAAGAAGAAATTATATATTTATTCATTTTCATTATATTTTAGTAGCATTTTATAATTGTCCTCACAAAGATCCTACCTATTTTTTACTACACTCATCTTAGTTATGTTATCATTTTCTTACTGGTACAAAAGGTTGTTTAAATATAATTTCTTCTTACAATTTATTGCTAGTATGTGAAGTGCAATCAATTTTCTTATTTAAACCCTATATCTAGAAAATCTAATACATTTCAAATTCTAATCCACTTAGTTTTTTCTCATTTTTTAAATGTACACTTTAGTGTTAGCTGTGAATACTAATGATTTTTCTTCTCCACTATTTTTTTTTCTCAACTCAATATGCTGGTGAGGATTTTGAGGGTGGTCCTCTATGTTATGGCTTAAAAGTACAAGTAGAGTGTTCCCCATACTGCCTAGTTGTGTAGATACTTGGTTCACAGCCTTGCCTCTTAAACTCAAGAACATATTTTATATTACAGGGAAATCCTAGAGCTATCTGAGCTTCAAAAACTAGAAGAAACCTGGCTTCTCTGAATGTTTTGCTAAAATTAATCAATCGGACAATTTCCCAGGGGCCTTTCTTGGCCCTTGTATCAGTTGATCCCAGCTTGTCCCCCACATCCAAAATTATTCTTAACCCTACAGATGTCCCATCCTAATGTTTTTAAACTAGAACATTTTTTCCAGTTGACTTCCCTGGAGATTGCATTCAATTACAAATGCTTAAAAAATAATCTAAATTTCATGCTTTTTCAATGGTACTTTTCCTATTGGGTACTATCACTACCCACTTTACTATCAGTTTAGAGCATTATGTCTGAGAGGAGATGTAGTTTATGATTTTCATTCTTCCATAGTGAATCAGTTCTCAAATAGTGTTCCTAAAAACCACCGAAGTATAGTACTCAATCTATAAGCTTAAAATAGACTATACTGACAGAGATAATAATTGGCAAGGTAATAAACGCAATCTGAAATTCTGCAACCGTTGTGACTAAACGTTGCCACCTGAAACATATTTTAACAAATATACAATTTGAGCCTGAAAAATGTTTTTGGGTATTTTTAGTACCTTAGTAGTTACCAAAAATGTTGAATTATTAATAATTCTAACTTTTATTGAGGAATTACTAGATGCTTAGCACTTTTCTAAACATGTTAAATATATTATCTAATTTAGTTCTCACAAAAACATTAAAATGCAAATACAATGATTCTCATTTTTAAGCTGACTAAAATGAAGAACAAGTTGCTCCATAATTCGTCAAGCTGCCTCATTTATTTCACTGTTCTCATTTTCCTCAAGGTGCAGTGGCTTGCCAAGAGAACCGTCAGTGCCTCCATGGTCACACTGGCAAGAAACCTCTCCTGTGCCCTAAGATTGGGATTGGGCAAAATTAATTACAAAATAATTTAGGATTGGTGAGCATAGCAATGTGAAGTTCCTCAAATATGCCTTGATAAGTAAACGTTTTATAAAAAGCAAGACTTTTTCCAGGCATGCAGTCTCTTTTTCTGATAGAACGGTTGCACAGATAAGACATTTTCTTCTATGAATAAATTGTTTTCAGGAATTTTCTGAGGTTAAACAATGAATTTATCTACTGTTTTTCAACATTATCCTCAGGCACAAGAATTTCCCAGAACAATTGTTCAAGTCACCTTAACATAGTGGTCTTAGTGTTGAGTCCTGATAGTAAACCTATGTGGATGCAGGTGGTCTTAATTATCAACTCCAACTCTAGGATACTCAGCATAAGATGCTTAAGTCCCATATACATTTATTTAACTATAATATTTCTATAAATCCAGATGTATTATGAAAATTTCCCATCCATGTTAATTTTTTATGTAAATTATATTCCTGTCAAAAATTGCCACGCAATTCAATTGTATGCTTGAACGTTGAAAATGAAGTTCCCAGAAGCTTTTAATTGTTATCTTATACAGAGGCTCACCCTTGATATAAACTCCCATTACTTAAATGACTTTGACTTTTATTTTATTTGCAAATTCTATTGCTAAATGGGGTTAAGGAAATGTCAGTACTGATACAGATGATTTATTCTATAACTTTGAAGCAAGAAATAGTGAATGGCATTTTGGAATATTATACACAAGAAAGAGCCTATGAAAATGTAGTGATTCAAAATTCTTCCAGCAATAATAACATACCATAAGAGTGAGAGAATATCAACCAAAGCAATGCTAAGTTTAAACCTTTAATCTAAAATGATGCAGCATGAGAATAACTCTGAGGGATGTTTTTCCTTGGGGAAAGGAAGATAACTTTTTATAGAGCTTTAACAGCAAAAGTCCAGATGGTTTTACGAATAGTTGGACCAAAACACTTCTCAGAAGAAGAAGGAATTTTCCTTGTAGTTTAGCAGGTGCTGTTGGGCAATTTTTGCTTAGCAAGAGGACTGGAGATGAAGAATTTGATGTTACATTTATGTAAGGCCCACAGTGGAAAATGTTTCTCAGTATGTATCACATGGAACTTTCATTAAAATAATAATAAGAAATAATTACATATGTCTCTGTAAACTCTAAAGTGTTTTAAAATTAAAATTATAATATTTAAAGAAGCATGTTTAGCTTCCAGATAACTGACTAGAGGCATCTAGTACTAACTTCCTCCACAAAGAAGAACCAAAATAGTGAGTAGATAATCACACTTTGAATAGATCATCTAAGAGAGACATGAATTCAACAGAGAAGGGCCAGGAAACACCTAAAACAAGAAAGGAAAGGGAAGTAAGGCAGCCTGCTTAGCTAGAGTCAGCTGGTTCCCCAAAGCAGGCAAAAGGCAAGTGAGAGACCCCCAGTGGTCGGCATTCCCACTGAGGACTCCTGCAAATCTACCCATGGGAAAGTCCCTTGATCCTTACAGGCTCTGAGACTAACACACGGAGCTGCCTGGAAACAAGGATGTGGTGTAACTCCAGAAAGGAAGCTCACAATGTGTCACACATGACTTGAAGACCTAAGCAGTTACAGTAGAGTGCCATTTTGAGAGCCCAGACCCACCAGACTCCATCCACCCCTGGAGTCCCACAACTCTTGTATCTCCACATTCCTGGAGCCCATTGACATCCTCCACCCAGAGCCACTGCCATGACTGGCAGCTGCCACCAGGGCCAAAGTGAGTTGCCACCCATTTATGAGTGCCCTCAGGACAGGCTATCCTGCCCACAGCTGCCATCTGGTGCAAAAGTGTACTCTCCTTGGCCACTTGCCTACTGCTACTAGCATTGAAAGCAACCCTGCCCTCCCCAGTAGCAGGGCTGTAGCATAGCTGCTGCTGGCCCACCCAATCATTCTGTCAGGGGAATGGGGATTTTCCTGCCCCCCATTACCACAACCAACACCTGCACACACCAATGGGGAACCTGAGGACAGATCCACCTGGCCCAGCTCTGCAACCCCTTCAGTGCCCAAGTATGCCATCGAGAGCCTGGGAATTACCCAGCCCCATCCACCAACATTGGCGCCTGAGAACTCCTTTCAGGGGCCTGAGACAAGACCCACACAACCTGCCACTAAACCACTGCTGGCAGCCATCCACATGTGCCACGTGCAGGCCTGTGGACTGACCCACCAGCCTGGTCATGGTCACTGCCAACGTTAGCCTGAAGTACTTGGGAGTTAGAAGCTTGTCCTGCCAGTGCTACTGCCATCATTCATGTCATATCCACCACCCAGGGGCCAAAAAACCCATCCACTTGCCCAGCTCATTGCTGCCACTATCAACACCCTGCCTGGAGGCTCATAAAATGGCCTAACTGAACATTGGTGCCAGGATATGCCACCCTGGGCCCCAAGGACAGGCACACTTAGACCATTGCTGTGATTACTGAGGCCCAAGTACAGGCCTATCTAGCTTTCCTGTCATAAGAAAAATATTTACCATCACAAAAACACACAAAATATAAAGACCATGGGTAGAGCAAACACACAAGTAAGGAAACAACCCAATGTTACCACTACAAAAAACAGCAAAGTACAAAGAAAAACAATAAGAGAACCAAAGGAACAGGGATATACAAAACAATCAGAAATCAATTAGTAAAATGACAGATATAAGCCCTCATATATCAATAATATTGTTGAATGTAAGCAGATTAAACTTTCCACTTAGACTGGCTAAGTGGATTTTTAAAATAGCCTAACAATATGCTGCCTACAAAAAAACTCATCACACACATTGACTAAATGTAAAAAGATGGAAAAATTCATTCCCTACAAACAACAACAATGATAACAACAAACAAACAAACCAAAACCAAAAAAAAACAGCAGAAAGAGCTTTACTTACATCAGATGAAATAGAATTTAAGTCAAAAAAGTAGAACAAAGGAAAGTCATTATATAATGATAAAGGGATCAATTCAGCAAGAGGATATAACAACACTAAACATATATGCATCCAACAATGGTGCATCCAAATATATAAAACATATTATTAGCTCTAAAGGAAGAGATATACTCTAATACAATAATAATTGGGACTTCAATGCCCCACTCTAAGCAGAAAATCAACAAAGAAACTTGGCTTTAAACTTCATATTAGACCAAACAGACTTACCAGGCATTCACAGAACATTTCATTCAAAAGCTACAGAATACACATTTTTTCCTCATCACCATGTGGAACATTCTTCAGGATAGAGCATATATTAAGCCACAAAGCAAGCCTCAACAACATTTTTAAAAAATTGAAATCATATCAACTATCTTCTCAGAACACAGTGAAATTAAATGAGAAATCAAAAAAAAAGAGAAGCTTTAGAAAATGTACAAACACAGAGAAATTAAACAATATGCTCCTGAATGACTATTTGGTAAATAATGAAATTAGAAAGGAGATTTAAATTTTTTGAAATAAATGAAAATGAAAACACAACATAATAAAACCTACTGAATACACCAAAAGTAGTGCTGAGAGGGAAGTTTATAGCGATTAAGACCTATATCAAAAAAATAGAAATATTTCAAATAAAGAACCAAACAATGTTCCTCAAGAAACTAGAAAATCAAGAACAACCCAAACCAAAAACTTAGAAGGACAGAAATAATGAAAGTTACAGCAGAATTAAATGAAATAGAGATTAAAGATATATTCAATAGAATAAAAAATTAGATTTTTGAAAAGATAAAATGCATAAGCCACTATCTAGCTAGACTGAGGAAAAAAAAGAGAAGATTCAAATAAACAAAATCTGATACAAAAAGGAAACATTTCAAGTGATACCATAGAAATATGAAAGATCACCAAAAACCATTATGAACAACTATACACTAACAAACTGAAAAACCTAGTGGAAATGGATACATTCCTGGACACACACAACCTACCGTAAGTGAATCACTGAGAAATTGAAAACCTGAACCAACAAAAACTGAGTAACAATATTGAATCAGTAATAAAAAGACTCCCAACAAAGGAAAGTCCAGGACTGGATGGCTTCACTTCAGAATTCTACTAAACTTACAAAGAACTAGTATTATCTTCCTCAACCCATTTCAAAAAAAATCAAGAGGAAGGACTTTCCCTAACTAATTATATAAGGCCAGCATTACCTTGATATCTAAACCAGATAAGGACACACCAAATAAGAAAACTACAGGTCAATATCCCAGATGAACATAGATTTTTAAATTATCAGCAAAATACTAGCAAACGAAAACCAACAGCATGTGAAAAAGATAATACACCATGATCAAGTAGGATTTATACCAGGGTTGCAAAGATAGTTCAGCATATGCAAAACAATAAATTTGATATATCATATCAACAGAATGAAGGACAAAAATTATATGATTATCTCAATACACGCAGAAAAATAATTTGATAAAATTCAAAACCCCTTCCTTATAGAAACCCTCAACAAACATACAAGGAATATACCTCAAGATAATACAGGCCATATATGACAAACCCACAGCTGACATCATACTTAATGAGGAAAAGCTCAAAGTCTTTAAGAAATGGAACAAGTCAAGATGACCACTTTCACCACTCCTATTCAAATAGTACTGGAAGTTCTAGACAGAACAATCAGACAAGGAAAAAGAATAAAAAGGCATCCAAATTGGAAAAGAGGAAGTCAAATTGTCCCTCTTTGCAGATGACATAATCTTATATAGAAAGAAACCTAAAGACAATAGCAAAAAAACTCTAAAGTTGCATGAGGCACAATCAACATGCAAAAATTAGTAGCATTGCTGTGCATCAATAATGAACTAACTGATTAAAAATCAAGAAATCCCATTTATAATAGCTACAAAAATATAAAATACCTTGAAATACATTTACTCAGAGAGGTGAAAGACCTCTACAATGAAAACTACAAAACACTAATGAAAGAAATTAAAGAGGGCACAAACAAATTGAAAGGCATTCCATTCTGAGGGATTAAAATAATTAACATTATTAAAATGAGTATGTTTCCCAGTCAAATCTATAGATCCAATGCAACTCCAGTCAAAATACCAATGGCATTCTTCACAGAATAGAAAAACAATTATAATATTCTTATGGAATCAAAAATGAGCTCAAATAGCTAAAGCAATCCTTAGCAAAGTAGCAAAGCTGGAGACATCACATTACCTGACTTAAAAATATTTTCCAAGGCTATCATAATCAAAACAGCATGGTATTGATATAAAAACAAAAAGATAAATCAGTGAAACAAAATGGAAAACTCAGAGATAAACCCATGTATTTACAGCCAACTGGTTTTCAATAAAGGATCCAAAACTGTACATTGTGGAAAAAACACCCTCTTCAATAAATGGAAGGTGAGAAAATTGAATATCTACAAGTAAAAAATAAAACTGGCCCCCTATGTCTTCTCATATAAAAAAGTCAACACAAGATGGAGTAAAGGCTTAAATGTAAGGCCTGAAATGGTAAAACAGATAAAAACATAAGGGAAACACTTTAGGACTTTGGTCTAGGAAAGAATTTTATGGATAAGACCTTAAAAGTTCAGACAACAAAAACAAAAAGAAACAAATGGAACTATATTAAACTAAAAATCTTCTGCAAAGTGAAGGTTACAATCAACAGAGTGAATAAACAACGTACTGGATGAGAGAAAATATTGGCAAAATATTCATCTAACAAGAGACTAATGTAAGAAGCCCAAGCCAGAGTAATCAGGCAAAATAAAGAAATAATGGGCATCCATATTGGAAAAGAGGAAGTCAATATTTGTCAATGATATGATTGTATATTTAGAACATCCTAGACTCCTCCAAAAGATCTCTAGATTTGATAAATGAATTCAGTCAAGTCTCATATTTAAAAAATCAGTGTTCACAAATCAGTAGCACTGGTATAGACCAACAACAACCAAGCTCCAAGCTCAGAATCAAATCAAGAACCCAATTTCTTTTACAATAGCTGCAAAAAATGTAATGAAATACCTAGGAGTACACATAACCAAGGAAGTAAAAGATCTCTGATGGCATTTGGCTCTATGTCTTCACCCAAACATCATGCTGAATTTTAATTCTGAGTATCGTGGGAGGGAGCTGATGGGAGGTGATTGACTCATGGGGGCAGATTTCTCCTTTGCTATTCTTGGGACAGTGAGTTATCACAAGATCTGTTTACTTGAAAGTGTGTAGCACTTCTTCCTTCACTTTCTCTCTCTCTCTCTCTCCTCCACATGTGAAGACATGATTGCTTCCCCTTTGCCCTTCCACCATGATTGTAAGTTTCCTGAGGCCTCCTCAGCCATGACTCCTGTACCGCTTGTGTAATTGTGAGTCAATAAAACTTCTTTTCTTTATAAATTCCCCAGTCTCAGGTAGTTCTTTATAGCAGTGTGAAAACCCACTAATATAGAAAATTGGTACCAGAGAAGTTGGGCATTGCTGTAGAGATACCTGAAAATGTGAAAACAACTTTGGAACTGTGTAATAGGCTGAGGCTGGAACAATATGGAGGGCTCAGATGAAGGCAGGAAGATGAGAAAAAGTTTAGAACTTCCTAGAAACTTGTTGAATAGTTTTAACCAAAATGCTCATAGTGATATGGGTAATAAAGTCCAGGCTGAGGAGATCTAAGATGGAGATAAGAAACTTACTGGAAACTGGAGTAAAAGTCACTCTTGCTATGCTTTAATAAAGACAGTGGCAGCATTGTGCCCTTGCCCTAGAGATCTTTAGAACTTTGAACTTGAGACAGATAATTTAGGATATCTGGTGAAGGGAATTTCTAAGCAGCAAAGCATTCAAGATGCTGCTTCTAAAAGCCTAGGCTCATATGTGTTTGCAAAGAGATGGTCTAACATTGGAACTTATATTTAAAAGAGAAGCAGAGCATAAAAGTTTTAAAAATTGCATCCCAACCATGTGGTAGAAAAGATAAACCCATTTTCTGGGAAGGAATTCAAGTCCACTGCATAAAGTTGCATAAGTAATGAGGAGCCAAATGTTAATAACCAAGACAATAGGAAAAATGCCTCCAAGACATTTCAGAGACCTTCACAGCAGTCCCTCTAATTACAGGCTTGGAGGCCTAGAAGAGAAAAATGATCTTGTGGGCCAGGCCCAGGACAAATTTCTCTTTGCAGCCTCAGGACATAGCACCCTACATCATCCCCACTCCAGCCCTAGACATGTCTAAAATGGCTCAAGATACTGCTTGGGCCATTGCTTCAGAAGGTGAAAGCCCCAAGCCTTGGTAGCTTCTACATGGTTTTGGGCCTGTGGGTGCACAGAGGGCAAGAGCTGAGGCTTGGGGGCCTCCTCCTAGATTTCAGAGGATGTATGGAAACACCTGAATGTTGAGGCATCAGTCTGCTGCAGGGGTGGAGCCCTCATGGAGAAACTCTGCTAGGGCAGTGAAGAAGGTAAATGTGAGGTTGGAGCACTAGTGGGGACCCAGAGTCCCCACTAGGGCACTGCTTAATGGAGCTGTGGAAAAAGGACCACCGTCCTCTGGACTCCAGAATGGTAGAACATCAACAGCTTGCACCGTGCACCTGGAAAAGCTGCAGGCATTCAACACCAGCCAGTGAAAGCCCGCACGGTGGCTGTACCCTGCAGAGCCACAGGGGCAGAGCTGTCCAGGACCTTGGGAACTCACCCCTTGTGTCAGTGTGGCTTGGATATGAGACATGGAGTCAACAGGAAATATTTTGGAGCTTTAAGATTTAATGACTGCCCTGATGGGTTTGAGATTTGCGTGGGGCCTGTGGCCCTTTTGTTTTTGTCAATTTCTCCCTTTTGGAGTGGAAACATTTACCCAATGCCTGCACCCCCATCGTATCTTGGAAGTAACTAACCTGCTTTTGATTTTACAGGCTCATAGGTGGAAGAAATTTGCCTTGTCACAGATCATACTTTGGACTTGGTTTTTTGAGTTAATACTGGAACGATTTAAGACTTTGGGGGACTGTTGGGAAGGAATAATTGTGTTTTGCAATATGAGAAGGACATGAGAATTGAGAGGGGACAGGTGCAAATTGTATGGTTTGGCTCTGCTCCCACCAAAATCTCATGTTGAGTTTTAATTCCCAATTTTAGGAGAGGGATTGGGTGGTAGATGACTGGATCATTGGGGCAGAGATTTCCTTTGCTTTTTTTGTGCTAGTGAGTTCTCACAAGATCTAGTTGTTTGAAAGTGTGTAGCACTTCCCCCTTTGCTCAGTTTCTCTCTTGCCGCCATGTGAAGATGTGTTTGTTCCCCTTTGCCCTTCCACCATGACTGTAAGTTTCCCAAGACCTCACCATCCATGCCTCTCATACAGCAAGTGGAACTGTTAGTCAATTTAACCTATTTATAAATTACCCAGTCTCAGATAGTTCTTTATAGCAGTGTGAAAATGAACTAATACAATCTCTATAAGGAGAACAACAAAACACTTCTGAAAAAAAATCATAGATGACACCAAAAAATGGAAATACATCCCATACTCATGAATTAAAAGAGTGAATATCAATAAAATGACCATACTGCCCAAAGCAATCTACAGATTCAACTCAATTTCTATCAAAATACCAACATCATGTTTCACAGAATTAAAGAAAACAATTTTTAAATGCACGTGGAATCAAATAAGACCCTGAATAGCTACAGCAATCCTAAGCAAAAAGAAAAAAATCTGGAGGCATCACATTATCTAATCTCAAATTATACTACAAGGCTATAGTACCCAAAACAGCATGATACTGACATAAAGGTGATACATAGACCAGTAGAGAAAATTGGGAACTCAGAAAAAAGCCAAATACTTACAATCAATTGATCTTCAACAAAGCATACAAAAACATAAATTAGGGAACGGATATTCTATTCGATAAATAGTTCTGGAAAAACTGGATAGCCACAGGTAGAATACTAAAACTGGATCCTTATCTCTCACCATATGCAAAAATCAACTCAAGATGGACTAAAGAATTAAATGTAAGACCTGAAACCATATAAATTTTAGAAGGAAACCTAGAAAAAACTTCTGGACATTGATCTAGGCAAATAATTTTCAACAAAATTTGCAAAAGCAAATACAAAAGAAACCCAAAAATTAAAAATGAGAGCATTAATTAAATTGACAAGCTTCTGCTCCACAAAACAAATTATCCTCAGTGTAAACGGACAACCCACAGAATGGGAGAAAATATTTGCAAACTATGCATCCAATGACAAACTAATATCCACAATCTACAATGAACTCCAACAACTCAACAGTAAAAACAAATAAATAAATAAAAATAATAATCCCATTAAAATGTGGGTGAAGGTCATTAATAGACATTTCTAAGAAGAGATACAAATGGCTACCAGGTATACTAAAAAATGCTCATATCACTAATGAACAGGGAAATGCTATTCAAAACCACAGTGAGCTATCATTTTATCCCAGTTAGAATGGCCATTACTAAAAAGAAAAATAACAGATGGCGGTGCAGATGTGAAGAAAAGGGAAATCATACACCATTGCTGAGAATGTAAATTAGTACAGGCACTCTGGAAAACAGTATGGAGACTGTGTTAGGCCATTCTTGCATTGCTATAAATAAATATGTGAGACTGGGTAATTTATAAGGAAAGAAGTTTAATTGAATCACAATTCTGCAGTCTATACGGGAAACACAGTACCAGTATCTGCTTCTGGGGAGGCCTCAGGAAGCTTTCAGTCATTGTGGAATGTGAAGAGGGAATAGGCACATTACAAGGCTACAGAAAGAGCAAGAGAGAGTCAGGAGGGTGCACACATTTTTAAATGGCAAGAACTTGTAAGAAGTTACTCACTATCGTGATAATAGCACCAAGCCAGGAGGAATCTGCCCCTGTGACTCAAACAGGTCCCACCAACCCTCTTGCCCTCAAGCATTGGGGATTATAATTCAACATGAGATTTGGGTAAGGGCAAATATCCAAACTATATCAAAAATTTCTCAAAACACTAAAAAGAGAACTACAATATGTCTAGCAATCCCACTACCAGGTATTTATCCAAAGGAAAAGAAATCAGTATATCAAAGGCATATCTGCACTCCCGTATTTATTGTAGCGCTACACACAAGAGCAAAGATAGGGAATCTACCTATGTTTCCATCAACAGAATAATGGTTAAACAAAATATGACGTATATATACACAATGGAATATTATTTGGGCATAAAAAGGAATGAGATCATGCCATTTGCAGCAACATAGATGGAACTGGAGATCATTATGTTAAGTGACATAAGCCAGGCACAGAAAGACAAATACTGCATATTCTCACTCATATGTTGGATCTAAAATACTTGATTTTATGGTAGTAGAGAGTGGAATGATAAATAGTGACTGGGATTGGTATGTGGATGACTGGGGGAATAAAAAGAGATTGCTTAATGGGCACAAACATAGGCTTTTTGTTGTTGTTGTTTTGTTTTGTTTTTTGAGACAGAGTCTTGCTCTATTGCCCAGGCTGGAGCAAAGTGGCAAGATCTCAGCTCACTACAAGCTCTGCCTCTCAGAGTCAAGCAATTATTGGGCCTCAGCCTCCGAAGTAGCTGGGACTACAGGTGTGTGCCACCACACACAGGTAATTTTTGTATTCTTAGTACAGATGGGGATTTGCTATGTTGGCCAGACTGGTCAAACTCCTGGACTCAAGTGATCCACCCATCTTGGCCTCTCGAAGTGCTAAGATTACAGGCGTGAGCCACATTTTAATATTTTATAGTAGGGTAGGGTGACTATAGTTAGCAACAATGTATTATGTATTTCAAAATCGCTAGAATACTTGAACTGCTCCCAACACATAGAAATGATAAATGCTTGAAGTGATGGATACCCTGTTTGATCATTACACATTTTATGCATGTAACAAAATACCACACTTACCCCACACACATGTACATATATTAGGTATCAATTAAAAATTATACTTATTAAAAGACTGAGTGATAATCTCAAGATTACCAAAGTGGAAGAGTTTATATCTTGAATTTGGATAGAGAAATAAGCTTTTCTTTATAAGAAAAATATATACATATATCTACATGGTTAACACAAATACAAGTAAACGTAACCAGCAATATTTTGTTGTTTTTGTTTCAGGATCTTGGACAAAAAGCTAACTAGTAGTAAGGAACAATTGCATAGGACAAGATGAACAGAAGGAAGTTGATTTTATTCTAATACTAGTGCTAGCAATAAGGGAGAGGGCACAGAGCAAACCTGGACACCCAACTTTGTCAAGACAAAGGGCTGGAGAGGTTTTAAGAGTTGGGATTGGAAAAGATCATAGGCTATCTGTGTTTGCTAATTGTCCCTACCAAAGAAAATTAAACACTCTAATATGTTTATGACAGGAGGTACTTTTACAACTTAGAACAAGGCTCAGGCAGGACTCAGATTCCTATCCTTTCACTGAAACTGGGAGATAAGGGTATTATCTTCCTTGATGATTAGGTTTCAAAGAGGTGGTTCCCAGGTCCTTGAGAAAGACATTCCTGGGTTATAAAACTGACAAGAGTCTTTTTAAAAGATTTACATCTCAAAGAAGGAGAGAAGGGATTTACAACCATAAGTTATCTAAAATAAATGGTCTAAGAAAAGGCAGGGCAGGGGCCTAGAGTCTGGAGGAAGCCTGTCTAAAGTTTCATCAGGCTGAGGGGAATGTTAAGGCTGTCTTGTTCACTAGCAACAACCACATTCAGAAATGAAAGTCGTCATTATATAGACTGCAAATTAAATGGCTTCAAAAACAGCAAAATCCAGGATATCAAAAATTAAGCTTTAAAATAGTAATTCATTCAGATACACTTAACACCAGCCTAATGAAGAGAAAAACATCACAATTTCAACCAAACCATAAAAAAGTCCTATAAATGAATTTACAAGGAAAAGTAGAAGCTAGGGATATGTAATAGGAAGAAAAAGAGAATGAGAGATGTTAAATGAATTAGTTTGAAGAGCACTTTGACCAAAAACCTGTGAAAGGAAAATATATTGGGCCCCCAAAATCACTAAGAAAAATTCAAGCTAGAAACTGCTTAGGGCAAACCTGCCTCCCATTCTAGTCAAAGTTACTAAGATAGATGCATTTCAGATTGCCTCCTGTGGAAAGGCTAATCAGAAACTCAAAAGAATGAAACTGTTTGTATCTTACCTATCTGTGACCTGAAAGTCCTGTCCTTGCTTCCAGTCTTTCTGCCTTTGCTTCAAGATGCTCCGCCTTTCTGAATCAAACCAATGTACTTCTTACATATATTTATTGATGTCTCATATCTCCCTAAAATGTATAAAACAAAGCTGTGCCCCAATCACCTTGGCACATGTCGTCAGGACTTTCTGAGGCTGTGTCATGGGCGCATGAAAAAATAAACTTTGTAAATTAACTAAGACATGTCTCAGATTTTCTAGGTTCACAAACCTGAATGAAATGAGAAAATTGCCCAGAATATCTGGGTTAAAATCTTCCCAGACAAAGGACAAGTACAAAGTAAATTCAGTTGAAGGAGCTTGTCTGGTGTCTTTATAGAAGAGCAGAGCACAGTGTACCGTGGAGTGTGTTAGAAGATGAGGAAAAAGAAATTGGCTGGGATTAGATGATAATGGAACGTGTAGAGCTTATACTCAGCCCATCATCATGGATATGGGATCCGTGTTAAGAAAACCCAGCCCTTGATTTAATGCTCCTTTGTCGTTAACTTAAAAGTCCTAATAATTTCTGAACAAGTTACTATATTTTGGATTAATGTGGTACTTAGAAATAGACAAGTAATACAGTATCAAATAGGATGTTGTCTTATGTATCTTTTTTTTTCCTTTTTTTAAAATTATACTTTAAGTTCTGGGGTACAAGAGCAGAACACGCAGTTTTGTTACATAAATATACACGTACCATGGTAGTTTGCTGCACCCATCAACCCGTCACCTACATTAGGTATTTCTCCTAATGTTGTCTCTCCGCTAGCCCCCCACACCCTTACAGGCCCGTGTGTGATGTTCCCCTCCCTATGTCCATGTGTTCTCATTGTTCAACTCCCTCTTATGAGTGAGAACATGTGGTGTTTGGTTTCCTGTTCCTGTAATAGTTTGCTGAGAATGATGGTTTCTGCCTTCATCCATGTCCCTGCAAAGGACATGAACTCATCGTTTTTTATGACTGCATAGTATTTCATGGTGTATATGTGCCACATTTTCTTAATCCAGTCTATTATTGATGGACATTTGGGTTGGTTCCAAGACTTTGCTATTGTGAATAGTGCCACAATAAACTTATGTGTGCATGTGTCTTTATAGTAAAATGATTTATAATCCTTTGGGTATATGCCCAGTAATGGGATTGCTGGGTCAAATTATATTTCTAGTTGTAGATCCTTGAGGAATAGCCACACTGTCTTCCACAATGGTTGAACTAATTTACGCTCCCACCAACACTGTAAAAGCATTCCTATTTCTCCACATCCTCTCCAGCATCTGCTGTCTCCTGACTTTTTTTTTTTTTTTTTTTTTTGAGATGGAGTTTCTCTCTGTTGCCAGGCTGGAGTGCAGTGGCGCAATCCCGGCTCACAGAAACCTCCGACTCCCCAGTTCAAGTGATTCTCCTGCCTCAGCCTCCTGAGTAGCTAGGATTACCGGCATGCGCAACCACGTCCAGCTAATTTTTGTATTTTTAGTAGAGCCAGGGTTTCACCGTGTTGGCCAGGATGGTCTCAATCTCCTGACCTTGTGATCCACCTGCCTCAGACTCCCAAAGTGCTGGAATTACAGGCGTGAGCCACAGCGCCTGGCCTTTCCTGACTTTTTAATGATCGTCATTCTAACTGGTGTGAGATGGTATCTCATTGCGGTTTTGCATTTCTCTAACGACCAGTGATGATGAGCATTTTTCATATGTCTGTTGGCTGCATAAATGTTTTCTTGATGAGCATTTTTTCATATGTCTGTTGGCTGTATAAATGTTTTCTTTTGAGAAGTGTCTATTCATATCCTTTGCCCACCTTTTGATAGGGTTGTTTGTTTTTTCTTCTTGTAAATTTGTTTAAGTTGTTTGTAGATTCTGGATATTAGCCCTTTGTCAGATGGATGGATTGCAAAAATTTTCTCCCATTTTGTAGGTTGCCTGTTCAGTCTGATGATAGTTTCTTTTGCTATGCAGAAGCTCTTTAGCTAATTAGATCCCACTGGTCAATTTTGGCTTTTGTTGGCATTGCTTTTGGTGTTTTACACATGAAGTCTTTGCCCATACCTATGTCCTGAATGGTATTGCCCAGGTTTTCTTCTAGGATTGAAACTATTCCAAACAATAGAAAAAGAGGGAATCTTCCCTAACTCATTTTATGAGGCCAGCATCATCCTGATACCAAAACCTGGCAGAGACACAACAAAAAAAGAAAATTTCAGGCCAATATCCCTGATGAACATCAGTGTGAAAATTCTCAATAAAATACTGGCAAACCAAATCCAGCAGCACATCAAAAAGCTTATCTATCACGATCAAGTCGGCTTCATCCCAGGGATGCAAGGCTGATTCAACATATGCAAATCAATAAATGGAATCCATCACATAAACAGAACCAATGACAAAAATCACATGATTATCTCAATAGATTCAGAAAAGGCCTTTGACAAAATTCAACACCCCTTCATACTAAAAACTTTTTTTTTTTTTTTTGAAATGGAGTCTCGCTCTGTCGCCCAGGCTGGAGTGCAGTGGCGGATCTCACTCACTGCAAGCTCCACCTCCCGGGTTCACGCCAGTCTCCTGCCTCAGCCTCCTGAGTAGCTGGGACTACAGGTGTCTGCCACCGCGCTCGGCTAATTTTTTGTACTTTTAGTAGAGATGGGGTTTCACTGTGTTAGCCAGGATTGTCTCAATCTCCTAACCTTGTGATCCGCCCACCTTGGCCTCCCAAAGTGCTGGGATTACAGGCGTGAGCCACCGTGCCCGGCCGCTAAAAACTTTCAATAAACTGGGTATCGATGGAATGTATCTCAAAATAATAAGAGCTGTTTATGACAAACCCACAGCCAATATCCTACTGAATGGGCAAAAACTGGAAGCATTATTTTTGAAAACTGGCACAAGAGAAGGATGCCCTCTCTCACCACTCCTATTTGATATAGTATTGGAAATTCTGGCCAGGGCAATCAGGCAAGAAAAAGAAATAAAGGGTATTCACATAGGAAGAGAGGAAGTCAAATTCTCTGTTTGCAGATGACATGACTGTATATTTAGAAAATCCTGTCATCTCAGCCCAAAATCTTCTTAAGCTGATAAGCAACTTCAGCAAAGTCTCAGGATACAAAATCAATGTGCAAAAATTGCAAGCATTCCTATACACCAATAACTGACAGAGAGCCAAATCATGAGTGACCTCCCATTCACAATTGCTACTAAGAGAATAAAATACCTAAGAATACAACTTACAAGAGCTGTGAAGGACCTCTTCAAAGAGAACTACAAACCACTGCTCAAGGAAATAAGAGAGGACACAAACAAAGAGAAAACCATTCCATGCTCATGGATAGGAAGAATCAATATTATGAAAATGGCTATACTGCCCAAAGTAATTTATAGATTAAATGATATCCCCATCAAGCTTCCACTGACTGTCTTTACAGAATTGAAAAACACTACTTTAAACTTCATATGGAATCAGAAAAAGCCCGCATAACCAAGACAATCCTGGGCAAGAAGAACAAAGCTGGAGGCATCACGCTACCTGACTTCAAACTATATTACAAGGCTACAGTAACCAAAACAACATGATACTGTTACCAAAATGGATATATAGACCAATGGAACAGAACAGAGGCCTCAGAAATAACACCACACATCTACAACCATCTGATCTTTGACAAACCTGATACAAACAAGCAACGGGGAAAAGATTCCCTATTTAATAAATGTTGTTGGGAAAACTGGCCAGCCATATGCAGAAAACTGAAACTGGACCCCTGCCTTACACCTTATATAAAAATCAACTCAAGATGGATCAAAGACTTAAATGTAAGACCTAGGACCATAAAAATCCTAGGAATATGTTTTCCTATGTACTTTTTTTCTTCAAATTCTCTTAGCAAATTCCAGAATTGGCATTTCCATACAATTTTTAGAATCAGCTTGCCAGATTCTTAATTATAATGATGATGATGATAATGATAAAAATAATGTATTTACTTTGGGAAGTTTTTTATTTTGGGAGGTATTTGGGAAATATTTTGGAGGACTGACAAATTTTTATTTTCTTCATTTACTTCAATCTAATGCTTCTTCATTAACATAAGTTATTATAATGTATTTCTCTGGAGGTTTACACTTTCTTCATTAATTTTTTAAACATCTTATTTAAATTGGTATCTTTAATAATTTATTTTGCCATTGAAAAATAAACATTTTAAAAATTGTATTTTCTGTTTGTGTTTAGCAACTTGAAATACAACAGACTTTAGTTTCAACTGATTTAATTATTAAAATTAGTGAACACTTAACTGTGCATGAAATCAACACACAAAAAATCTAGCCTGTATTGATCTCACACACAACAAAATTTCTGAACTTATTCCTTAATTTTTAAAAAACTTGTACACAGTAAAATTTACTTTTTGTGTTGTATAATTTTATGGATTTTAATAAATGGATAGAGTCACATACCTATCTCCAAACACAGTACCATAACAAAGGACTTCCATTATTTCAGAAATTCACTTGAGCTGTCCTTTTGTATACAACTTCTCCCATTCCTAATCCCTTACAAATATTGATTTGTTTCTTCCCCTCTACTTTTGCCTTTTTGAGGGTGTCATGATAATGAGAATTACAAAATATGTTGCCTTTTGAGTTTGGCTGATTTTACTTAGTAAGATGCATTTAAAATTAATCCATAATGTTGTACAATTCAATTTTTCATTATATTTATTTCTAAGGGATATTCTATTCTATGAGTACAACACAGTTTGTTTATCCATTCACCTGTTGAAGGGCATCTGGGTTATTTCCAGTTGGGGCAATTATGAATTGATCTGCTATAAATATTTGTGAAGAGATTTTTGTGGGAACATAAGATTTAATTCACTTTAGTACGTACATATGTAGGAGTGAGATTGCTTAATAATGTGATAAGTAGCTGTACATTTGTTCATTCCTACCCACAATGTGTGAGTGTCAATTTCTTTCTATTTTCACCAGCCTTTGAAATTGTCAGTCTTTCAATTTTAGTCATTCCCACATGCATATAGTTGTGTTACAATGTAATTTTAAATTTGTATTTCCCTAATAACTAAAAATGTGGAATATCTCTTTATATACTTATTTGCTATCTGTCTTAGTACACTTTCTGTGGATTATAACAGAATACCAGAAACTAGACACTCAACAGAGAAAAGAAATTTGTTTCTAACAGTTATGAAGGCTGAGAATTCCAATGTTCAGGGACCACATCTTATAAGGACCTTCTTGTTGATGGTGTCTCTCTGCTTCTATTCTCTAAAGGAAATTACAGATAATTTATATAATTTCTTCCTTAAAGTTTCAATATAATTCACTAGTGAATCCATCTGGGCTTGACTTTTTCTGTTTTGGAAGGTTATTTATTATTGATGACATTTGTTTAATAGATACAGGCCTATTCATATTGTCTATTTCTTCTTTTATAACTTTGGAAAACTGTGGGACTTTTTAAAAATTGGTTTAGCTTACATAGATATGAGATATGTGGGCATAGTTGTCACTAGTATTCTTTTATTATCCTTTTAATGTCCATGGGATCTGCAATGATGTCTCCTCTTTCATTTGTAATCTTAGTAATTTGTGCCTTCTCTTTTTTTTTTCCTTAGTCTGGCTTAAGGGTTATCAATTTCATACATTTTTTTTCAAAGAGCCAGCTTTTAGCTTTGTTAAGTTTTATGATTTCCAATAAGTACTTTGTTAACAGTTTGTTTGCATATTCAATAAACTAATAATAAACAGTTATAATGTATTGAACATTTATTGAATATATGCCAGACACCCTACTATATTCTTTATTCTTCTTCATGTTACTTAATTTTATACATACCATAGATCTGTGAAATATCATTATCCACATTTTATTAACAGAAAAACTGAGGCTGGGGCAAAGAGAAGTGAAATACCTTACTCTGGGCTATTTAGTATTGGTGCCTAAATTGAGATTTGAGCACATGATGATCTGAAGACACTACTTTTACATTATCCCATCAGAGATGCTTTACATCTAAACTATTAGAGGATCAATTATATATGCAAGATAAAATAATGTATATTCAGGCAAATTCCTGACCTCTGGGCTTCCAGGTATTATCGGGGATACTAAATTGTAAATTCTTGTGATAGATTGTGCCAGTTCTCGATCAGAGAATGTGAGAGAACAAAATAGCAGGACGCATCTATACTTTTACCACCCTGGCATTTAATCTTCTCAACCATATCACACTAAGCTCTGTTTCCTGTAAATATTTCTGCATTAAAAATAGGGATAATTTCTGAAGGGAATTATAATACAGGAAATAAAGATAACTTTTTCATTAATTCTTACTTTTTCATGTGTCTCAAGAGAAGTAGGTACTTTTAAATACTTTATTTACACTTGTCACTTGGGTACTCTTATTCACTCTGAAGCTGACTCCTCTTATTTTTAGTTTTATTTATTTTCTTCCAATATAGTACTCATTCAATCATCTCTGTATACATTTCCATCTAAGTATTTTATTCAATCTCTATGAAAATTCAATTTCTGCCCACAGGGATATAACTATGAGGACTCACTGCTTATACCTCCAGGCAAAGCCTCATTTCTGAGCCCTTTATTATTGATGGACTGTTTCTCCAATGATCCTTGCTGCCCAGTAAAATCCAAATATCGCAGAAAAAGCTGGCAGGATGAGTTTAAGTAATAATATAGGTAATGCTCATCCTATATCTACCAGGTTGATTATTCTTTTTTACATATATATATATATTTTTTTTTTTTATTTTTTTATTTTTTCTATTTTTATTTTTTTTTAGACAGAGTCTCACTGTGTTGCCCAGGCTGGAGTGCAGTGGCAAGACCTCGGCTCACTGCAAGCTCCACTTCCCAGGTTCACGCCATTCTCCTGCCTCAGCCTCCCTGATAGCTGGGACTACAGGTGCTCGCCACCACGCCCAGCTAATTTTTTGTATTTTTAGTAGAGACAGGGTTTCACCATGTTAGCCAGGATGGTCTCGATCACCTGACCTCGTGATCCGCCCGCCTCAGCCTCCCAAAGTGCTGGGATTACAGGCATGAGCCACTGCGCCTGGCCTTCTTTTATATTTTCTTACTTGTATGAGCTTTAGGGAAACCAGTCCTTATACAGAGAAACTTGAGAAATATGTTTATACCTTGTAAGCTAGATATTAATTTTTTAGTGAGTTTAGTTGAAATCCTTATTGAGAATTAAAATATTTTCATATTTAGCAAGTTCTTCCACACATCTTACATTTCTTATCAACAGTGAACTTTGCATTATATACAATAGCATTTAGTTTCATTCTTGATCAGACTAGAAAGTCTGCCATAGAAAGTGGTATAACCTTATTCCTCTTTTTAAGTCCTATTACTTCATGAAAAATTAATAAATCACCTCACTGCTTCTAATTTACTGCCCCACTTAAGTTCTGACACTTTCTTGGTGACAAGATGCTATTTGGGAGGTGGAGAGGTATGGCTTCTATTTCTGTTATACACATATGTGGTCATCCAGGATTTTGTTTCTTAAACTTGAATGACACAGAAACCATATTTAAAGAGGAATAAATATTATATAATTCCTGCACTGATTTACTTTGGACTACACAGAGTGAACGTGAGGGCCAGCAAATATCTTTGCATACTTATCTAAAGCCTATACTTCTTCCGCCTCTGCTAAGTGACTAGGAAATTACCAACAGTGAATTGCTAATATAGTAAACTCTAGGACAATTCTCTTCACCATTTTTCCTTGAAACAATGAAGGAAAAAATGACCAAGGAAATATACAAGAATCTCTGTTTGTCTGTTATTGGTGTATAAGAATGCTTGTGATTTTTGCACATTGATTTTGTATTCTGAGACTTTGCTGAAGTTGCCTATCAGCTTAAGATTTTGGGCTGAGAAGATGGGGTTTTCTAGATATACAATCATGTCATCTGCAAACAGGGACAATTTGACTTCCTCTTTTCCCAATTGAATATTCTTTATTTCCTTCTCCTGCCTGATTGCCCTGGCGAAATCATGAGTGAACTCCCATTCACAATTGCTTCAAAGAGAATAAAATACCTAGGAATCCAACTTACAAGGGATGTGAAGGACTTCTTCAAGGAGAATTACAAACCACTGCTCAATGAAATAAAAGAGGATACAACCAATGGAAGAACATTCCATGCTCATGGGTAGGAAGAATCAATATTGTGAAAATGACCATACTGCCCAAGGTAAGTTATAAATTCAATGCCATCCCCATCAAGCTACCAATGACTTTCTTCACAGAATTGGAAAAAACTACTTTAAAGTTCATATGGAACCAAAAAAGAGCCCACATTGCCAAGTCAATCCTAAGCCAAAAGAACAAAGCTGGAAGCATCATGCTACCTGACTTCAAACTATACTACAAGGCTATAGTAACCAAAACAGCATGGTGCTGGTACCAAAACAGAGATATAGACCAATGGAACAGAACAGAGCACTCAGAAATAACGCCGCATATCTACAACCATCTGATCTTTGACAAACCTGAAAAAAACAAGAAATGGGGAAAGGATTCCCTATTTAATAAATCATGCTGGGAAAACTGGCTAGCCATATATAGAAAGCTGAAACTGGATCCCTTCCTTACACCTTATACAAAAATTAATTCAAGATGCATTAAAGACTTATATGTTACACCTAAAACCATAAAAACCCTACAAGAAAACCTAGCAACACCATTCAGACATAGGCATGGGCACGGACTTCATGGCTAAAACACCAAAAGTAATGGCAACAAAAGCCAAAATTGACAAATGGGATCTAATTAAACTAAGCAGCTTCTGCACAGCAAAAGAAACTACCATCAGAGTGAACAGACAACCTACAGAATGGGAGAAAATTTTTGCAATCTACTCATCTAACAAAGAGCTAATATCCAGAATCCACAATGAACTCAAACAAATTGACAAGAAAAAAACAAACAACCCCATCAACAAGTGGGTGAAGGATATGAACAGACACTTCTCAAAAGAAGACATTTATGCAGCCAAAGACACATGAAAAAATGCTCATCATCACTGGCCATCAGAGAAATGCAAATCAAAACCACAATGAGATACCATCTCATACCGGTTAGAATGGCGATCATTAAAAAGTCAGGAAAAAACAGGTGCTGGAGAGGATGTGGAGAAATAGGAACACTTTTACACTGTTGGTGGGACTGTAAACTAGTTCACCCATTGTGGAAGTCAGTGTGGCGATTCCTCAGGGATCTAGAACTAGAAATACCATTTGACCCAGCAATTCCATTACTGGGATTATAAATCATGCTGCTATAAAGGCACATGCACACGTATGCTTACTGCAGCACTATTCACAATAGCAAAGACTTGGAACCAACCCAAATGTCCAACAATGATAGACTGGATTAACAAAATGTGGCACATATACACCATGGAATACTATGCAGCCATAAAAAATGATGAGTTCATGTCCTTTGTAGGGACATGGATGAAGCTGGAAACCATCATTCTTAGCAAGCTATTGCAAGGACGAAAAACCAAACATCGCATGTTCTCACTCATAGGTGGGAATTGAACAATGAGAACACATGGACACAGGAAGGGGAACATCATACATTAGGGCCTGTTGTGGGGTGGGGGGAGGGGAGGATAGCATTTGGAGATATACCTAATGTTAAATGAGGAGTTACTGGGTGCAGCACACCAACATGGCACATGTATACATATGTAACTAACCTGCAGGTTGTGCACAGGTACCCTAAAACTTAAAGTATAATAATAAAAAAAAGAAATATATAAGAATCATCACACTCAAACAGATTTCTTGTGAGATTTTTATCTGTGTCTTGTGTTACCATTTAACTCTCCAGCTCAGGTATGCTAATGGAAACGTGGTTTTCTAACCCAAGGATTGAGAAAAAAAAAAAGTAAGAATGCCCTGAACTCTCTCATCAAGTGTCCTCCAATGAGTGTGAATAAAGGAAG
Source organism: Homo sapiens (assembly GCF_000001405.40). Taxonomy (NCBI): domain Eukaryota; kingdom Metazoa; phylum Chordata; class Mammalia; order Primates; family Hominidae; genus Homo; species Homo sapiens. The sequence continues at coordinate 103,378,113 of NC_000006.12, forward strand.
GACGGAAGCGCTCCAAAACTAGATGGCTTCTGTGACTCATTTTTTTGGGTGCTGTGGACACTGCTCTTCAACATACAGGGTGGATTTACTTTGTGGAAGGCTTTTCAGCAGCAGCAGTGTCCAGGACTCAAGATTTTAAAAGAATCCTTTGGATAATATATTTCAATTAAGTATTTTAAAATATACAATACTATACAATAAGAAAATACCTTTATATGATTATATATTGAAACATATTTCAGAATGTAAAACAAGATTATAAAGCTAGTAACCTTTAAACTTGCAACATTACTTTAAGATGGCAATAATATTGTTCTACTTACTGATTTTAATATGCTTATGCCACCCTGTATCCTGTATGAATCAATCTCCCAACTTTTCTCTTTATTTGGATTACAGTGACATCTTTGTATACCCCAGAGGCCATCAGGCCACATGGTGTTTCTATGATGCCCTAAACATAAATGTAAATGTAGGGTGTAAAGTGGCATCACTGTATGTAATTAGAAGGGTTTTTCTGATTAATTCATAATCTGCTGGTATAAGGTTACTATAAAAATGAAAGACTAAAATTAAATCATTATTATACAGAATTATCAATATTTAGAAAACATTGATGGAGGATCTATTTTCCTACTAAACTTTTTCTGCAGAGTAGTGAATATAGCTTCTTAATATTTTTGTACGTTTGGTTTAAATTTTTACTGTAGAAAATATATATTTTCTGTAAATTTGATAATACAACCAGGATTCTGCTTATCCTGCTTTTCTGTTTTACTATTTTCAGATATCATACATTAATTTACCTTTCCATAGAAAATAATTTAATATTAATGTAATTAATTAATTAGTGGTATTTATTAATATTACTTATAATTAACAATAAATTAATATTAAACAAATTAATTTTGAATTAATAATTCAAAAGATATGACTATCTACATATTTCTCAAAGCATTTGGTGGTAACTGTATCCTAATGCTTTGTACATTTTATTACTATTGTCTCTTTGCTTAGAAATCTCCCAGTGCCAAAATGTGTATTCTTTGAAGTCAGACAGAATTAATATGAAATAGTAGCTAGTTTAATGTAGTACACACAGTTGGGATTAATTAAATGTTGAATAATTAATAAACTATTTAAAAAACACATCAAAATCCTAATTGTAGAAAGACTTCTATATATTTTCATGTGTTTATTTTACTTCTCTCAGCTCATATCTACCATATATTTTAAATGTCTGTATTATAGTCTTCTTTGCTCTATCACTGATAAACTGCAACACAATTAATCCTGTTACATACTCCATCTTGGTAACTTTAAACAAATTTACTTAACATATAATGATGAAGTCATTACTGCCTGTGTTTGGCTGTTACTGAATTGATATAAAGAAATACCTGAGACTGAGTAATTTTTAAAGAAAAGAGATTTAATTGGCTCACAGTTCCGTAGGCTTGATGCTGGCATCTGTGTGGCTTCTGGTGAAGCCTCAGGGAGCTTTCAATCATGGCAGAAGACGAAGAGGGAACAGGCACATGGTACAGCAAAATAAAAAGCAAGTGAGAGATACTGGAGGGAGTGGTTCCACACACTTAAATAAGCAGATGTCAAGTAAATTAACTGAGCAAGAACTCACTTATCACCAAGGAGCTGGTGCTAAACCATCCGTGAGGGATCCATCCGCATGATCCAAATATATCCCACAAGGCCCCAACTCCAACATTGGGGATTGCATTTCAACATAAGATTTGGGAGGGCACAAATATTCATATTGTATTACTGCTATGTGTTTCTTTTTTGAGACACACATTTTTTTCTTTTTTTAAAATTTTTCATTAGCAGTTTACTGAAAAAGAGACTATAATATTTTTGAATTACTGTTAAACCCAGCTCAGTAGAGCACAGGTGAAACTTTCCCAAGCTTTTTTTCTCCCTTTTCTTTCAATGCATTTTCTGCCATCAGACCTTCATTGCTCTATGAGTGCTCCCAGTGCTGCCTATGGGGAATAAGAAATTGATTTTTTATCAAATACTAAACTTGAGAAAACATTTTAAATACTAATTCTTCTTAGGCTTTCATGATGCCTTCTCAAGACTCTATAGATAATATACTTTATGCTAAATAACTTTTAAAAATGTCTCTGTGGTTGCTAGAGTTCTAAAATCATATATTAATTTATTTCTAAATGTTATTTAAAGAAGAAATTGAGCAAAGGAAAGATGCTCTAAATTTATATGGATTGCTTTAACATTGCTTAATGAAGGCTTGCAGTTGACTTTATGAAGGAAACAGAAACATCTTGTTATAAAATGAAACCTTATATCTTCCCTCTCTGTCACCTTAAAATACAATTTACATAAAGAAGGGCAACAGTAATTGAAGAGCAATTATGGTAGCTTTCTGTATTCATGCCAAAGAATAAACATTTATACCCTTTGTGTGTTTAAGAAAAAATGGTCTCACAAATTTGACATCTCCTATGTTAGCAGCTTATTAAAATTTAGTAGAAAGAGCATATTTCCATTTTTAAGAAAATAAAAGAACAATGTGAAAGGAATGTGTAGTAGTCTATTGCATCCACTTTTACTGTGCAGATAATTAAAAATTAGAAATTTGGGCTTTAAATGTTGAAGCCTGAATGTAACTACTCAGATCGACTAACCTACATATAATTTGCAAAATAACAATTTAATAGAAAGGAAAATACTTGAAATAATACATTTTTAAAATTTAAGCCTTATAGTATGTCATATAATCATATGGACTTTCAGGAGTTTATACTGACCAAAGATGAGTCATATATTTTTCAGACATGTAAAATGCAAAATGATCAATTTAAGATTCTGAAAATATAAAGAATCCAAATAAGTGGAATCTGTGAATAGTGTGTATATTACTTGCTTAGGGCTGTGTAACAAAGTACCGCAAACTGGGTGGCTGAATATAACAGAAATTTATTGTCTCACAGTTCTAGGTGTTATAAGTCTGAAATCAAAGTGTAGGCAAGTTGGTGCATTTTGAAGAATCTGAGGGAGAACCTGTTCCATGCCTTTCCCTTCCTTTTGTCGACAGCCAGAAATCCTTAGGAGTCCCTGGCCTCTTTATGCAGCTTCTGGTGACATTCCTTGGCTTGTACATGCATCACTCCAATCTCTGACTCCATCTTCACATGATATTCTCTATGTGTATCTCTGTGTCCAAATTTCCCTCTTTATAATGACATCGGTCCACTCTAATGACCCCATCTTAACATAATTACATCTGCAAAGACTCTATTTACAGATAACATCACATTTCCAGGTGCCAAGGATTTGGGCTTCAACACATTTTATTTATTTATTTATTTATTTGAAATATACAATCAAAATCCCAGAATTATGCTAAAGTTAGTATGTGTTCAACATTGGCTCTTCTCAATTTACCAACATAATATACTTTCTCTAAGAAAAGAAAAGAGTATATTACTTTTTCTAAGCCATTACTTTAGTGTAGAGAGTTTTACAGGGTTCTAGACATTTTTTAAAAAGTTTATTTATTTTAGGATAATAATATATACAACTATGCACAGTAAATATAGAAAAAAGCATTTTTTTACTAAGTAAACTTTCCAATTTTAATTTCTCACCTTTTAAACTTTTTTTTCTATATGTTTCAGAGCTCTTTAGAGAAACAGAACACAAATATAATTTTAAATGGATATAAATGATTTTTTAAAAGAGAGTTTAGATTGACCTATTCTTTTCTCAAGAGAAACAGAGGACTTGAACAACACTGTAAACCATCTAGACTGAACAGATGTCTATAGAATACCACCCAAAAAATGCAGAATACACATTCTTCTCAAGCACACATAGAACATTTCCCAGAATAGACAATATGCTATTCCATAAACAAGCTTCATTAAACTTTAAATAATTTAGATAATATAAAGTATACTTTCCAACTACAATGGAATCAACTTTGAAGTTAAGAAAGGGGAAACTCATATATGTGAAAATTAAGCAACTAACATTAAATGAAAAGATAAAAGAAGAAATCATAATGAAAATGAGAAAACACATTAAGATGAATGAAAGTGAAAACACAACATACCAATACTTATGGGATACAACTAAAACAAGGTGTAGATGAAAGGCCTATACCAAAAAGGCAAAAAAATCTCAAATCAATAATCCAGCTTTCCACCTTATAAGTCTAAAAAAGAAATCAAAAAGTAAATACAAGGAAAGCCAAAGAAAGAACATCTAAAAAGGAACAAATAGAATGGGAGTAAATTAAATAGAAAATCAATAAAACCAAAAGTAGACGTGAAAAAATACTAAAATAAAAAAACCAGAAACTTTTAGCAAGACTGACTGAGAAAAAAATGGAAGAAGACTCAAATTAATAAAATCAGTAATAAAGAGGGAACATTACTATATTAGACCATTGTTGCATAGCTGTAAAAAAAATACCTGAGACTGGGTAGTTTAAAGAAAATAAGTTTATTGGGCTTATGGTTCTGCAGGTTGTACGGGAAGCATAACACAGGCATCTGCTTCTGGGGAGGCTCCAGGTAGCTTTCAATCATGGCAGAAGTAAAGGCGTTACACTCATCTTATGTGGCAGGAGGAGGAAAAAGAGAGAGAGGTGAGGGAGGTGCTACACACTTTACCAGGTCTCATGAGAATTCTTTCACTATCGAGAGGATAACACCAAGAAGATGGTACTAAACCACTCATGAGAAATCTGCCCTCATGACCCAAACACCTCCCATGAGGCCCTACTTCCAACATTGAGGATTACAATTCAATGAGATTTGGGTGGGGAACACAGATTCAAACAACATCAATTATTACATTCTTACAAAAAGAGAAAGGATTGAGCAACTATATATTAACAAATTAGATAGCCTAGATTAAATGGGCCAAGCCCCAGAAATACATAAACTTCCAAAACTAACTTTAGAAAAAATAGATAATCTGAATATACTTGTAATAAACTAAGAGATTGAATTAATAATGTAAGAACTTCCCCCCCCCCAAAAAATCTCAGACCCAGATGGCTTCACTGGTAAATCTACAGAACATTAAAAATAATAACACCAATCTTTTCAAAACTCTTCCATAAATAAAAGAAAATGGAACATATACATAAATGTTGTTAGCAGTATTATTCAAAATAGGTAAAATGCTGAAACAATCCAAATGTCCATCAACTAATGAATAGATAAACAACATGTGGTGTATCAACACAATGAAATATTATTTGGCAATGATGGTGAATACTGATGAAATTTTGTACCTTTATGCTAAGCGAAAAGAAGAAGTCACATATTATATGAATTGATTTATATGCAATGTCCAGAATAAAGAAATCTATACAGACAAAATTAACTGACTAGTTGCTTATTGCTCAGCAGTGGGCAGGAGGGAATAGGGAGGAACTGCTTAATGAGTACTGAGCTTTTTTGGGGGGTAAAGAAAATGTTGAAAACATTTGTATCCAAAAATAAAAGTCAGCATCCTAAAAGACAGTGAACAAATGAGATGAGGCAGTTTATTACCTTGAGAGAATTTCCAAACTCCAGCACAGAAAGGCATAAGCCAGAAGGAATGGGCAATAATGCTTGTTCTGACCAGCCAGTCTAAAAAATATCATTGTTCATGGGATATTGGGTCAATCATATAGAAGGGTGCCCATTAGTAAAAAAATACCTAGCCCCAAAGTGAGCACTGTTTCAGACCCACCTAACGATCTTAAAGGAAGATCTGAAAAGATCAAACTGTTTCCAAGTAACTTAACTGCCTCCCAGAACAGAGCTCAAGGATATTTATAGGAATATAAAAATATTCAGCACCCAAAAATATCAAATTGACAAGATTACACTTAAGCAAAGGAACAGGGAAATATGACCCATGAGGAGATAAATCAATCAAATTTGATCTCAAAATGACACAAATCTTAGAATTAGCAGAACAGAATGAAGCAGTTATTATGATTGTATTACATTCATTTAAAAATGTACATACATATGTATATATATGAAAGATCTTAAATATATATGTATTTATATATATATATATATGAAAGATCTTAAAAAGACAAGGTTAACTGACAGTGATTAAACTTCAATGTCTGGGATAAAGTTGTTTATCAACCCAATAGAATATTGATCAGTAATAAAAATGAACAAATTATTGATGCTCACAACATAGATAAATCTTCAAAGTATTATGTTGAGAGAAAGAAGTCAGACAATAAGGACCATAAACTATGTCAGTCTATTTACATAAATCTCTAGAGAACATAAACTCATCTAGAGTGACATTAAATTAATAGAACAGTGACTGCTTTGGGATAGGCAGAGAAGGATAGGAGTAAGACATTATAAAAGGGCACAAGGAAACACTTTGGAAATGGATATGTTCATTATCTTGATTCTAGTGATGGTTTCTGAACTTACGTATCTGTCAAAATTTATGACAAATTGCACTTCAAATATAAGAACTATTATCTATGTCAGTTATGCTTTAATAAAGCTGCTTAACAAGACAAATAAGACAATAAAATAATTCAAGGGAAGTAAGAAGGTTCAAATGGAGAAAGTCTTCAAAAAAATCAAAACACTAACAATAGAAAGTGTCTTGAAAAATATGGAGCTCTTAGCACATTCATATGTTTATCAGATTTAGTTTGGGAAGTAAAGTGATACAATTATGATTGGTAACTATTTGACATTTCTTTCAAAATTACTCATTCACCTACTATATTATCTAGCATTTAAATGCTCAGGTATTTACCCAATAGAGGAAAACATCTGATGACAAAAAGCATTGGAAAAGAAGCCTTAGTCATAATATCTAAATATTGAAACTAACCCTAATACCCATCTACAAGAAATGTTAAGGAAAGTGTGGTGTATTCATACAATGGAATATTAGTCAACAATAAAAAAGAACAAGCTACAAATAAATGCAAAAATTTAATGAAGCTCAAAAACATAATGTGGAGTAAACAAGACACAATGCTATGCATTTATTGAATTTCATACTACATGAAATAGTATATAGTATGTAAGTAATATATATACTATATATATTATATGTAACATATAATGTATTTATATATTATTATACTTGTGTAGTAACATATTATATACTTATATATAGTATATATGTTACTTATAGAGTATATTATATGTAAGTATATAATATGTTACTACATAAGTATAATACTTATATACTATGTTACTTATATACTATATAAGTTATATATAATATAATATGGAATTGAATAAAAATGAATAAAAATGAACATTAAGATATTTTCTGGGATGATGGGTTTCTTTTTTATTCTGTCTGCTGTGGAGGTTACAAAGATGTATGCAGTTTTCAAAACTCAATGAACTGAACACTTAATGTCACTATATTTTATTTTATGTAAATTAAATCTCTATGATATTATTATATATTTATATTTGTTTTGGTCCATGGTTCTAGGCTCATAATCCTCATAGCATTTATTATTTCCTAAGTGAATGATATAGTTTGGCCTTGTGTCTCCACTCAAATCTCATCTTGAATTGTGATCCCCACATATCATGGGAGGGAGCTGTAGGAAGTTATTGGATCAAGGAGGAGGATTTTCCCCATGGTGTTCTTATGATAGTGAGTTCTCATGAGATCTGATGGTTTAAGTGTGGCACTTCCTCCCTTGCTTGCTCTCTCTCCTGCTGCCATGTAAGATGTGCCTTGCTTCCCATTCACCTTCCATCATGATTGTAAGTTTTCTGAGGCCTTCCTAGTCATGCAAAACTTTGAGTAAATTAAACTTTTTTTTTTTTTGTAAATTACCCAGTCTCAAGTAGTTCTTTATAGCAGTGTGAGAATGAACTAATACAGAAAGTTGGTACCGAGAGAACTGGACCACTGATATGAAGATACCTGAAAATGTGAAAGCAACTTTGAAACTGTGTAATGGGCAGAGGCTGGAACAGTTTAGAGAACTCAGAAGAAGATAGGAAGATGCAGGAAAGTTTGGAACTTCCTAGAGACTTGTTGAATGGTTGTGGCCAAAATGTTGATAGTGATATGAACAATGAAGTCCAGGCTGAGGTGGTCTCAGATGAAGATGAGGAACTTCTGTTATCTACAGTAAAGGTCACTCTTGCTAGGCTTTAATAAAGAGACTGGCAGCATACTGCCCCTGCTCTAGATATCTGGAGAACTTTTAACTTGAGAGAGATGATTTAGGGTATCTGGTAGAAGAAATTTCTAAGCAGCAAAGCATTCAAAATGTGGCCTGGCTTTTAATAAAAGTTTATGCTCATGTGCATAAAGAAAGAAATGGTCTGAAATTGTCACTTATGTCTACAATAGAAGCAAAGCATAAAAGTTTAGAAAAATTGCAGCCTGACCATGTGGTAGAAAAGACAAACCCTTTTTCTGGGGAGAAATTCAAACCAACTGCCGAAATTTGCATAAGCAAGGAGGAGCAGAATGTTAGTAGCCAACACAATGGGGAAAATGTCTCCAGGGCATTTCAGAGATCCTCTCGTCAGCCCCTTCTATCACAGACCCAGAGGCCTAGGAGGGAAAATTGATTTTATGGGCAGGCCCAGGGCCACACTGCTCCTCTGTGCAGCCTCCTTGGGACTTGGTACACTGCATTCAAGCCACTGCAGCTCTAGCTTTGGCTAAAAGGGGCCAAGGACAGCTCTGGCAATTACTTCAAAGGGTGGAAGCCCCAAGCCTTGGTGTTAGGCTTGCTGCTGCACAGCGATCAAGAGTTGAGGCTCAGCAGCCTCTGCCTAGATTTCAGAGGATGTATGGAAACATCTGAATGTCCAGACAGAAGTCTGTAACAGGGGTGGAGAACTCATAGAGAACATCTACTAGGGCAGTGCAGAGGGGAAATGTGGCATTAGAAGCTCCATACAGAATTCCCACTGGGCCACTGCCTATTGGAGCTGAAGAAGAGTACCACCAACATCCCCCAGACCCTTGAATGATAGATCCATCAACAGCTTGCACTGTGCACCTGGAAAAGCTGTAAGCAATCAATGTTAGCCTGTAAAAGCATCAGCGGGGGATGTACCCTGCAGAGCCACAGAGGCAGAGCTGCCCAAGGCCTTGGGAGCTATATTAGTTCATTTTTGCACTGCTGATAAAGATATACCCAAGACTTGGCAATTTACAAAGGAAAGAGGTTTAATAGACTTACAGTTCCATATGGCTGAGGAGGCCTCACAATCATGGTGAAAGGCAAGGAGGAGCAAGTCACATCTTACATGGATGGCAGCAGGCAAACAGAGAGAGCTTGTGCAAGAAAACTCATTTTTAAAATCATCAGATCTCATGAAATTTATTCACTATCACAAGAAGAGCACAGGAAATTACCTCCCACCAGGCTCCTCCCATGACTTCTGGGAATTGTGGGAGTTACAAGTCAAGATGAGATTTGGGTGGGTGAGCTCTACGTTGGCTCCTTTCAGCCACAGGAGGAGGAGCTGGGACACAGGGCACTTTTCCTCCTAGGCCTCTGGGCCTGTGATGAGAGGGGCTGCCATGAAGACTTCTGACATGCCTGGATACATTTTTCTCATTGTCTTGGTGGCTAACATTCAGCTCCTTGTTACTTATGTGAATTTCTGCAGTTGGCTTGAATTTCTCCTCAGAAAATGGTATTTTCTTTTCTAACGCATTGTCAGGTTGCAAATTCTCCAACTTTTATGCTTTGTTTTCCCTATAAAACTGAACGCTTTTAACAGCACACAAGTCACATCTTGAATTCTTTGCTGCTTAGAAATTTCTTCTGACAAATACCCTAATTATCTCTCTCAAGTTCAAAGTTCCACAAATCTCTAGTAAAGGGGCAAAATGCCACCAGTCCCTTTGCTAAAACAAAAAGAGAGTCACCTTTGCTCCATGCAGAGATGCCTTGACCTTGGCATGCCCAGGGAAGGGATGGGAGCTCTGGGCCTCTGTCTATATCTGGCCCTACGTATTTCTTTCTGTGTATCCTTTGTAATAACTTTTATAATAAATGGGTAAACGTAAGTGTTTCCTTGACTTCTATGAGCCACTCTAGCAAATTATTCAAACCCAAAGAGGGGGGTCTTGATAGCCTTTTTTTTTTATAGGAGGTCAGTCAGAAGCACAGGTAAAACAACCCAGGGCTTGCTGTTGCTTTGGAAGTGGGGCCCTCTTTCTTGAGAGACTAAACCCACAATCTGTATGATCTGACACTATCTCCAGGTAAATGGGATCAGAAATGAATTAGAGGACACCCAGTTGGCATTCACTTCAGTACTGATTGCTTGTTTGCTGGTAGGGGAAAATCCCCACACATCTGGTGTAAAAAGCCTATTATGAGAGTATAGTGGGAGAAACTGAGTTTGTTTTTTCCACTCAATATTATTGTCCCAGTTATGGATTATTTATTTCAAATCACTACATTCAAAACTTTCTTTGGCCATGCGCAGTGGCTCACACCTGTAATCCTAGCAGTTTGGGAGGCCAAGGTGGGTGGATCACCTGAGGTCAAGAGTTAGAGACCAGCCGGGCCAACATGGTGAAACCTCATTGCTACTAAAAATACAGGTGATGTGTGCCTGTAGGCTCACCTACTTGGGAGGCTGAGACAGGAGAATTGCTTGAACCCAGGAGGCGGAGGTTGCAGTGAGCTGAGATAGTGCCATTGCACTCTAGCCTGGGCAACAGAGCAAAAACCCCATCTCAAAAAACAAAAACAAAAACAAACAAATGGAAAAAAAACTTTCTGCATTCAACCTTGTAGAAAATCAGCCACCAATTATGAGTAACATCCAGCTGTTCTGTTTTCATCTTTATTGTCATTGTTTTGGTAAGGTAGTGATTATTTCTTATTTGAATTCATACTGTGTCTGCTAAACTCTCTTGTCACCACCACCACAGCATCATCTCATGCTACCACCCACTTCATAATCTGTCCTCTTCATATTCATCTTTGTGGCTCTTTAATGATGCTATGCTTTGTATCTCCTTTGGAACTTTACCCACTCATTTTCTTCTAACTAGAATGCTCTATCCCTTTTTCATTGACTTACTCCTACTTATCCTTGAGTCTGGTCTTAGACAGCACTTTTACTGCAAAGTTTTCTAGATATTCAAGAAGAGATTATATGCCCTTTTTATGGGCTATCTTGTCCTCTTGATCAAAGAACCATAACAGCTCTTAACACACTGTGCTCTAATTGTAAACTTTGTTATCTGTCTCACTCACTAGCTACTTGAGGGCAGATACTATCTCATTTATTGTAGCATTTCCAATATTTTAAAAGATCTTTTATAATTAGTGTTTCAAAATATTTGTTGAATGAAAGGACAAATATGAAAAATGTTATTACAGAAATGGGTATAGAAACAAGATTTCAAAGTTACTTATTTCCTATAGACTTGAATAAATCAAACAGCAAATGTTAAGATACAGGTTCATTTTCTGATTATATTGGGCCTTTTCTAATTATATTGCAAGACAAATGAAATATTTGCCTCATGTATATGCACTTTTAACATCTAATCACATAGCTATATTGTAGACGTTTCTGATAATTTAACATGCATAATTCCATGTTTCAAGTTATACATTATCCCTTAATAAGGATTCATTGTAATCAAAGCAATATTAGCATGTTCTCTGTTACAAGGAGAGACCAGATGGACCACTTGTCTGTCGATTTAAGTTATCATAATCCAGGATATAGTGTGCATCCTCCTATACATACCTAAAAAAGCATATGATCTAAGAGTTTCTTACATTGTATACTACCTGTTAAAAAGTACCTGTATAAATATTATCTTTATGGGTTTTTATTAAGATTTAACTGATTGAATTTTTTAGTGTGAACTAAATTATATGTCAAATACACAAGATTTGACATAGTTATTTAAGATCTGTTCAGACTATAGTTGTATTATTTTATAAAGGCAACAAGGTAGTTTAGGCTTAGTTAGCCACAAGAAAAATATGTGTCTATTTTTTTGTTGTTGTTTGTTTGTTTGTTTTTAACTGCCATGACTAAATTCTGCCTTTGATTTGATGACCTAAGGCAGACCTTTCATTTTGCACATTTACTGTAAGGTTGATGGATGGAAAGATGGATGAACAGATGGATGAGTACACTATTGGGTGTCCCCTCAGCTGTCTGAAATTCTCTGAATGATAATGCATAATAATGTCATATGAATAAAAATGCTTCATGAAAATGAAAATGTTGGAGTGTTGTGAATCTAAGTCAAATAATGCCTTTTTAGAAGTTAATTTTCAACCTTTTTCAAAGTTAATATTAAAAAGTCCCATTGTAAATTCATATGACTTTACTATCTTTGTGAATGTATCATCCAGTCTCTTTGTACCTAATCATATATAGAGCAAAGCATCTCAACATAACTCAAATGTCATATGGATGCATGCCAGCTATTTATTTAAATAATTTTAAATGTCTGCATAGAAAGTTGGCATTGAATGACTTAATTATCTTAATTATTGATTTGAATCTTTAAAATATCACAGCAATCAGCAATAAGCAATTGAGACTACTTATTGCTCTTAATCTATTCACCTGTTATTAAGATGTTGATTAGGTAAAATGAATCATCAACAGAACTAAGTTTAACTTTTGTCATATCTAGAACTGATAGTCCCACAACTTCCTCTGTCATTAATTGTACAGCACAAATGTCAAGGCCAGTGTTCATTTTCAAAATTAAAATTCCTGATTTGCAAACCGTAAAACCTTTTCCAATGACAGTACTCTCACAGTGTAGAACAAACAAAACTTATATGTTTAACTACTAGATATCTTAGTTGCTGTATCAGATATTTTCATAATTTATTCCAATGTATATAATTTTTTCTGTTTGTCATTTCAATGTTTTTATTGAATACATGATACTTATGGCAAGAATTCAGTTATGCACTGCTTGATCATGGGGATATATTTTGAGAAATGTGTCACTAGGTGATCTTTTTGTTGCATGAACAACATACAGTGTACTTACACAAACTTAGATGTTATATCCCACTATACACGTAGGCTATATAGTGTAGCCTATTTCTCCTAGGCTACAAACTATATAGCATGTTATGATACTGAATACTATAGGCAACTGCAACAAAATGGTATTTGTGTATCTAACCATAGGAAAGGTACAGTAATAATATGGCATTATAATCTTATGAGACCACTGTCAAATATGTGGTTGGTCATTGACCATAACATTGATATTCAGTGCAAGATCATATTTATAAGTGTACCATTTGGTCCCTTTGTATATAATCATGTATAGTTTATATATTGAGCATGTTTGAATAAACAGTAATCATAATCTTTCAAAAAGAAGTTTGACACAAAGAGAGTGTACTAGGACTAAACTGACCTGAGTTCCATATTAGTTCTGTCACTCAATAACTGTATAAACTTAGTCAAGTTACCTGATACCTATGCACTTCTTTTTTTCCTTATAAATATATACATAAAACTATCTACTTCTGTGTGTTATTAAAAAGTTTCATGGGATTACTAATGTAAAGTGCCTGTATGTCATTAAATAGGCTGTTTTACTTTCCTTTTAAGTGGAAGAAAAAGGAAGATAATTATTACTGAAGTTATTGTTGAGTCTTCTAATAATATGAAAATGAGGAACATAAGATTTTCTTTTGATTGTTGAACTGTAAAATCAATATGTATTTTGTCAGCAGAGGGACAACAAAATAACCCAAAAGAGGCAAAATTTGAGTCTCTTTAATTGACTATGTTATCTTAGTCAAAAAAAGGACAGTGCAGAAGAAGATAGATATGTAAGCATCTCAGAAGCAAGCATCATCAGGGTCTATCCAAGCTGTACTCAAGAGGAGAGGGAGGTTTCACAGATATGTTAAGCCTTCCTAGCCAACTTTTTTGGATCCATTGGCATGTAGTTTCAAGAGTCCAGGTAAGTACTACATCACATGCCCTTAGGCAATTGGTTCTTCGTCCATGCTCATGCTCACACAGATGACTGTGATTTAACCTCCCATTTAAGTGTATTCACATAGCAAATGAACATGTGTTTCCACACAGATTTTGAGAAGTATCATTATGATATTAATAACAGGTTTTTTTAACTGTAACTTAATATGTTGGTGGAAAAATATTTGCAATGTATGTGATGGTAATTTTATCTGCCTTCAAGACAGATATAAATATATACTTATAAATATGTATATATATTTATGTATTTATATATTTTAATATATATAAAGATAAATGCACATATGCATCTATGCATATGTCAAGACTGACATATATGCATTTATCTTTATATATATTAACATATATAAATATATGCAGATATACAGGTAGATAAATATATAGCTATAGATATAAATATCACACTGATATAAATATAGATATAGACATAAATATGCCAATATAATCCTTGCTCTGTGCACTTATGTTCTACTCATTTCTTTTCACTTGGGATAATAATGTTTGTGGCTCTGGCTTTCATATATATATATATGTATACGTATACATATATATATACTTTTTTTGTAGAAGCACTTTTGTTCATGTGAAAAAACGAGACATTGTCTATCACTATTATGGGGGAAATTTGTCATCCTATCTTCATTTTCTACTTTAGTTTGGGAAGATCTCTTTGGTTACTTTGTGTTTACAAGTCAGGACAACAATGGGTAATTGGGTATGTAGGCGAGGTTGGTTGGTCCCTGCCATACATATGAACATCCAGAGGTCGTGTGTGTGTGTGTGAAAAAAAGAAAAAGAGCCTGGACAAATTCTGAACAAATCAATTAGAAAAATATCTCTGGGAAACGTGAAGGTGAGCTTGTATTAGTGGACAGAGTAAGAATAGACTAAAAAGTTTGATGTTTATCATGTCATCTGAGATAAGTCAGGGAAGGACTTTAAGCAATACTGTTTTGATTAGATTTATATCTTATTTTGTCAACACTAGTAACAGCAAGGACAATTGATTGGTAAGGGGAAGAGGAGGTCTTCAGGCTATGGTGGTCTTATCAGATTTAAAAATATAGCTACTAGGTGACAGTAAGAACAAGGAGCAAAAAACAAAGTGAAGAGCTATTTTTTCACATTTCGTATTTTGATTCAGTTTGTATCCATCATGAGAAGAAAGACCCATGTACAGTGAATGCACTAAACACTCTTCAAGAAGCAGTTTTTCTGTGTTCCAGGGTTTTTAACAGGAATGGGATATGCAGTAATTCGATGCTTTCTATGTCTGTTATATTAAATATGATAGTCTTTGTTCTTTATTGTGTGCTGCATTTTATGTACACTTCCTTTGTAGAACAATTAGAGTCTCATTTTGCAGTTTTCCATTTTAGGTGGATGAGACTAACTGCTCGGTCTTGTGTTCTGACCATTCCTCACAGGGTTTAACTCATCATAGTCATTTTGAGGCCATTTTGTAATTAACTGTAGATGCTAATTCTTTGTGACCTATGCACACTCAGGTCAACAACACTTAAACACTTAGTCAGCTACAGCCCAAGAGTTCCCTGACTAATATCCCTACTTCCTACTAACACCTCCCAATGCTATTCTCTCTAAATGTTATCTCTTTTTCTATGTGTTCATATCCATCTCTGCTGAACTGTTTTCTGTACTTGAAGACTCTATTGAGCATGTATATGTATGTGTGTAGCTGTGTTTGTGTGTGAATCTCTAAGACATGGACAGTCTAGAGAACTGCACTCAAAGTCCAGAAGGACAATACTATTTTCATAATAAAATTGGGTTATTATTTGCTTAACTTATTCTTATGAATCTCCAGTGGATTTTTCCACAGACTACCTGACATATTTACAATTACCTCTGTAAGTAGATTTTATCCATGTACTTTAATCAAGGCATCATAATGCATCAGATTAAATGTGGGGGCAAAAATAAGAATTTGACTATCTTCTATTAAGCCAGACGCATTAAATGGATCTTCAAAAATGCAAAACAATGTGACTTTTCTCTTTAATTTTTGAAAATATTGGGTTTTTTGTTTGTTTTTGTTTTGAGATGGAATCTTACTCTGTCATCCAGGCTGGGGTGCACTGGTACAATCTCGGCTGCCTGCAACCTCTGCCTCCCAGGTTCAAGTGATTCTCCTGCCTCAGCCTCCCAAGTAGCCAGGACTACAGGCACACACCACCATGCCCAGCTAATCTTTGTGTTTTTAGTAGAGATGGAGTTTCACCAGGTTGGTCAGGCTGGTCTCAAACTCCTGACCTCAAGTGATCTGTCCGCCTTGGCTTCCCAAAGTGCTGGGATTTCAGGTATAAGCCACAGTGCCCACCCCAAGATATTGTTATTTTTATTAAAGTATTTAAGATAATAGATTTTGGTAGTAATTTTTAAATCACTTAGCATATAGGCATTTAAACCTGATATTAGCTTTAATTTCTAATATAGTTAATATTAATAGGTATAACACACATAAACTCTCTTTACAGTCCTCAATAATTTTTAATGATATAAATTGGCCCTGCATCCAAAAAGTTTCAGAACAGTGTCCTGGAGGACACTTAGAAATCTAATAAACATTTAGTATTCTTGTTGCAGACATTGGTAAATAGAAGTACATCATTAGACATTTTAGCTCACAGGAATGAACTATTATAAAATAGAACAGGGCCCAAATTTTCCCCCTTCAACAGCTATTATATTAATCATGCAACCTATCTTCTCTGCAAGGTATCAACACACTAATTCACAGCAGAGAGCATCACAGGAATGGTTAGAGAGGGAACTGAGCCTATATGTGATTCTGATCACTTACAGAGCACCATCTACTTAAACTTTTTAACTGTAAATCCTTAAATGGTGCTTTATATTACTACCTGGTGGCAATTAGGAATTTCATGCTGAGTTGCTACAACCCTACTTATAAAATGTAGGTTTGATTAAGAATAAATAGCAAACAAGCTCCCAAGATAAACATATTAGGATAATATAAAAGTCACAAGTCAGAAATGAATATAGTCCTTGCATGAAAATTTTCCACATCAAGTACATTAAAAGATCTCCATAAGAACAGGAGGCTCCTTTTTTTATAGCATGATTCCAATCATTATTATTTGGTGATTTCAATACCTACACAAAATATCAATTCAACCTTGCCCTCTCAGTAGTGTCTTGACCTTCTATCTTCAGAGATCTTGTCTATTATTTCATTTCAAGCAAGCATTCTCATGTGCATACCCTAGGTGCTTATTATTACCTTTTTCCATACCATTTTTAAAACATAATTTTAACTATCCTAATAAGTGAAGGAATTTTACATTAGGACATTAATTACAAGAGCAGCGAATTATTATTCTAAAGTATCTTTTATATTCTCCATACCCTCTAAGACACACCAAAAAGTGCCTTCTAATTACACTCTATCACTTGTTCATACTTTTGATCGCTGACCTTGTCCTGGGCTAATTCTCAGCTGTCACATGTTCCTAAAATATCTGTCTCTGTCTCTAAGAAATGTGACTTTTTCTCTTCCTCCTTCCACCCACATCAGAAAAACTCTTGATTTCTTAGGAAGCTGAAGTAGTATTATTTCCCAATATATTCCAGTGTATGGCAATATAGGCATAGGTATGACACTGAAAATTGAAGATAAAATAGCAATTTTATATACCAATGGTATGGTTTGGCTGTGTCCCCATCCAAATTTCATCTTGAATTACAGTTCCCATAATCCCCATGTATTGTGGGAGGGACGCGGTGTGAGGTAATTGAATCAGAGGGGCAGCTTCCCCCATGCTATTCTTGTGATAAGTTTTTGTGAGATCTTATGGTTTTATAAGAAGCTTCCTCCTTTGCTCCATTCTCATTATTTTCCTTCCTGCTGTCATGTGAAGAAGGATAAGTTTGCTTCTCTCTCCACCATGTTTGTAAGTTTCCTGAGGCTTCCCCAATCATGCTGAACTGTGAGTCAATTAAATGTCTTTCCTTTATAAATTAACCAGTCTCAGATTGTCTTTATTAATAGCAAGAGAATGGACTAATAATACAGTAAACTGGTACCACAGAGAGTGGGGTACTGCTGTAAAGATACCCAAAGGCAAAGTGGCTCATGCCTGTAATCCCACCACTTTGGGAGGCCAAGATGGAAGGATCACTTGAGGTCAGGAGTTCGAGACCAGCCTGACCAACATGGTGAAACCTCGTCTCTACTAAAAATACAAAAATTAGCCGGGTGTGATGGTACATGTCTGTAATCCCAGCTACTTGGGAGGCTGAGGCAGGAGAATCACTTGAATCTGGGAGGCAGAAGTTGCAGTGAGCTGAGATTGTGCCATTTCACTCCAGCCTGGGCAACAAGAGTGAGACTTTGTCTCAAAAAAACAAACAAACAAAAAATACCCAAAAATGTGGAAGCGACTTTGGAATTGGGTAATGGACAGAAGTTGGAACAGTTTGGAGGGCTCAGAAGAAGAGGAAGATGTGGGAAAGTCTGGAACTTCTTAGAGACTCAGAGGGCTCAGAAGACAGAAAGATGTGGGAAAGTTTGGAACTTCCTAGATATGTGTTGAATGGCTTTGACAAAAATGCTGACAATTCAAGAGGAAGCAGAACATAAAACTTTGCAGCCTGACAATGCGGTAGAAAAGAAAAACCCATTTTCTTGGGAGAAATTCAAGCCTGCTGCAGAAATTTGCATAAGTAACAAGGAGTGGAATGTACTCACCAGGACAATGGGGAAAATGTCTCCAGAGCATATCAGAGATCTTCACAGCAGCCCCCCCGATCACAGGCTTGGAGGCCTAGGAGAGACAAATGTTTTCATCGGCCAGACCCAGGGTGCCTCTGCTGTGTGAAGCCTCAGGACTTGGTCCCATTCTTTCCAGCCACTCCAGCCATGGCTAAAAGGGGCCAAAGTACAGCTCAGGCCATGGCTTTAGAGGGAGCAAGCCCTAAGCCTTGGCAGCTTTCACATAGTGTTTAGCCTGCAGGTGCACAGAAGTCAAGAATTGAGGTTTGGGAACCTTCACCTAGATTTCAGAGGATGCAATAAATGCCTGGATGTCCATGCAGATGTTTGCTACAGGGGCAGAGCACTCATGGAGAATGTCTGCTAGGGCCACGTGGAAGGGAAATGGTGAGATCATAACCCCTACACAGAATCCCCACTAGGGCATGCCTAGTGAAGCTATGAGAAGAAGGTCACCATCCTCCAGAACCCAGAATTGTAGATCTGCCCATAGCTTGCACTGTGTGCCTGGAAAAGCTGCAGACACTCAATGCCAGCTGGGAATGGAGCTAGGGGAGGGGGCTCTACCCTGCAAAGCTACAAAGGAGGAGCTGCCCAAGACCTTGGGAGCCCACCCTTTGCTTCAGCATGACATGGATGTCAGACATGGAGTCAAAGGAGATTATTCTGAAACATTAAAGTTTAATGACTGCCTTATTGCATGGGGCCTGAAGCCCCATGGGCTTCAGAATTGCATGGGGCCTGAAGCCCCTTTGTTTTAGCCAATTTCTCCCATTTGGAAGAGGTGTATTTACCCAATGCCTGTGCTCCCATTGTATCTAAGAAGTAACTAACTTGTTTTTCATTTTACAGGCTTATAGGCAGAAGGGACTCATCTTCTCTCAGATGAGACTTTGGACTTGAACTTTTGAGTTAAGGCTGGAATGAGTTAAGAGTTTAGGGGACTGTTGGATGGGCATGATTGTGTTTTGAAATGTGAGGACATGAGATTTTGGAGGGGTAAGGGGTGGAATAATATGGTTTGGCTGTGTCCCTACCCAAATCTCATCTTGAGTTGTAGTTCCCATAATTCCTATGTGTCATGGGAGGGACCTGGAGGGAGTTAATTGAATCATGGGGGCAGTTTCCACCATGCTATTATCATGTTAGTAGTTCTCACGAGATCTAATCATTCTCCAGGGGGCATCCTCCTTCACTGGATTCTTATTCTCCTCCTTGCTGCCACCATGTGAAGAAGGATGTGTTTGATTCCTCTTCTGCAATGATTGTAGGTTTCCTGAGGCCTTTCCAGCCATGCTAAACTGTGAGTCCATTAAACATCTTTCCTCTATAAATTACCCACTCTCAGGTATGTCTTTATTACCAGCCTGAGAACAGACTAGTATACCATAGCTAATGGGGTGAAATAAATTATATTTTTTAGTACGTGTATTGGATTTATGTGTGTATGTAAGTGTGTGTACAGATGTTGGTGGTAATGTAGCGCTCTCTCTCTCTCCCCTCTTTTTCTTGTTGACATTATTCTCCTTCTCCTCCTCCTCCTCCTGCTCCTCTTTTCTGCCTTTTCCCCTTATTCCCAACTCCTGTCCTAGGATGAAACACCATCTTTGTTCTCTTTTTTCTTTTGGAGTGTGTGATATATTCACAACACATTAAAAATATATTTATTATTATTATTATAAACTTCATAATTTAAACTTAAGCTCCAAAAATTTCTAATTAATTTGTTCACAGTTTTAGTATTGCAGAATAAAAGGCATTTTTCCAGGCAGAAATTACAGTTTTTATTTTCTAAAGTGTCCAGGGTTTCAGGTACTACAGAGTCGTGGAACTTGAACAGATGGTACTTTGCAATTAATATGAATTTTAAAAGCCAAATGCTGTGCGCATAATAATATTTGCTTTGCCCATTATTAAACATTGAATTTTACTCATGTACTCCTTTAAAAAATTACTCTACACTCTACCACCTTTGACCTTACAGGAGATCAGGAAATTGAGAAGTTATTGAGTGAGGAGATCCAACAAAATTACAATTACAGAAACCTCTGAGTGCTGCATGTAATTGAATTTATTCACAAGCCAAAAATCAATGCAGCCATCCAGAAACACACCAAATGTGACATTCAGTTTTTTATGCTTTATCAAAGCTAATTGATGTTGGAGGAAATAAATTAGAGAAATAGTTAGTGTTATAAAAGGAGTCCTTAAGGATATACCAAATAACCATTCATAAGAGCTAAGGGTAATTCATATTTTTGAACGACCATTTGATAGTGGCAACTGAGATTAACTCTTTTTCCTTCTTAAACTCCAGCCCTTACAATTCCTCCCTACATTCCTATGGGAAGAAGCAAAAGAAAGAAATCCATTTGTGGTTTGATATCGATGTGATAATTTTTGATATATCTGTTTTGGGACTAAAAGTAAAAAATATCATAGCTAATGGACTAAAATACTCATTTTTACATATTTTTTGAGAAATTATGTAAATATTTACATCTATGTTACAGTAAAATACTGCTATTTAAAAAAAAAATCTAAGGAGAAGGCCTAATATCACAAAGTCTCATTTCTTTGTTTGGTTGACATAGTACTTAGGCTCTTGTTTCCCACCCAAATAGACCATCACTCTTTATAGACAAAGCCACATGTGCAGATATTCCTACATGTCCAAATCTTATAAGTACTACAGGGCCCAGTTCCCTTCACTGTGCCAGATGAATATAGGTATTTCCTTCTGGTGACTTCAGATAAAATGTTTTAACAATTATTTCTATATAGGGCTTAGTTTGTTTATATCCACAGGATAAAAAAATAAGTCCTATGTAGAAATAACTATTCAAGGTATGCTCTGTAGACAGGTAATGGTCTTCAAACTGCTATCAGACTGTAAAAATTAAGCTCAGAAATTGAGAGTAAATACTTAAAAGTTGTATACCATCTTGAGATGTAATTTTATGTCTGCTGGACTTAATTTTAGAAATTGGAAGCTGTACTTTGTATGCATTCTTTTCTTTATGTTTAATTTTCTAATGATTCATTTTAATTGCTGCTCTGAACTGAATTGTGTACTCCCAAATCCACATGTTCTGGCCCTAACCATAATGTGACTGTATTTAGAGATAACACCCTTAGGGAGATAATTAAAGTTAAATAAGGTCATAAAAGTGGGACCCTATCCTAGTCTGTTTGGGCTCCTATAACAAAATATCGTTGACTAAGTAGCTTAAAAACAACAAAAATTATTTATTTGTTTATTTATTTATTTACTTATTTGAGACAGAGTCTTGCTCTGTCACCCAGGCTGGAATACAGTAGTGCCATTATGGCTCACTGCAGCCTCTGCCTCTTGGGCTCCAGTGATCTTCCTATCTCAGCCTCCTGAGTAGCTAGGACCACAGGTGTGTGCCACTATGCCTGGCTGTTTTTTTTTTTATTTTTTGTAGAGACAGGGTCTCACTATGTTGCCTATGCTGGTCTTGAACTCCTGGGCTCAAGCGATCCTTCTGCCTCAGGCTCTCAAAATGTTGGGATTACAATAAAGTGATGGCATGAGCCATCACTTTCAGCCTAAAACATTTATTTTCAATAGTTCTAGAGGCTGGGAAGTCCAAGATCAAGGAATTGGCAGATTAATTATCTGATAAGGGACTGTTTCCTAGTTCATAGATGGTGGTTTCTCTCTGTGATCTTATGTGGTGGAGGGGACAAGGCAACTCTCTGGGGTATCTTTTCCTAAATAAATAGGGCTGATGACCTTATACGAAGAGGAAAAGACAACAAAGATCTTACTCCTCTGTGTGACCACAAAGAAAAGGCCATTTGAGAACACAGTAAGAGAGCAGAAGTCTGCAAGCCAGAAAGAGAAGCTCCACAAGAAACCAAATCATCTGGCACCTTAATCATGGACACCTAGTCTCCAGAACTGTAACAAAATACTTAACTGTTGTTTAAGCCACCCAGTCTATAGTATTTTGCCATATCAGCCAAGCTAAGACAAAGTACTTGCCTCGAATAATGGGGCTTAACAATCTAA
Source organism: Homo sapiens (assembly GCF_000001405.40). Lineage (NCBI taxonomy): Eukaryota > Metazoa > Chordata > Mammalia > Primates > Hominidae > Homo > Homo sapiens. The sequence goes on from NC_000006.12 coordinate 103,400,905, forward strand.
TTTTTTTGTATGATAATGAAAAGTTATAGGAAGATCTCCAGTTTTTAACAAAAATTTCCCTAATATTTTAAAGTCAGGGTAGGTTTCTTGCTTTCCTCACACCCTATAAATATCCTTAATTGCAATATATATCATACTGTGTTTTTAAAGTTTAATGTTTGCATAATACCTATGGTCTTTCAATCATAAAAGACAAATTCTCAGTGCCTACACTAAGAAATTTGTTTTTTCTTTTTTCTTTCTTTTCTTTTTTTTTTTTTTTTGAGACAGAGTTTCACTCTGTCGCCCAGGCTGGAGTGCAGTGGTGCAGTCTTGGCTCACTGCAACCTCTGCCTCCTGGGTTCAAGTGATTCTCCTGTCTCAGCCTCCAGAGGAGCTGGGATTACAGGTGTGCACCACCACGCCTGGCTAATCTTTGTATTTTTAGTAAAGGCAGGGTTTCACCATGTTGGTCAGGCTGGTCTCGAACTCCTGAACTTGTGATCTGCCCCTCTCAGCCTCCCGAAGTGCTGAGATTATGCCCGGCGGAAATCTGTTTTCCTTTTAAAAAAAACTCCAAGTGGTTCTGATTCAGATGACTCTGAAATATATTGCTACTTCATAGTTATCTACTTGTCACTCTATATCCTCCATTTAGATATAAATTTCTTAAAGGAAAAGAACTTTTTTGTGTTTAGTGTTGTGTCCACTGGGACCAACCTAATCTGTTTCTGATTATATGCTGAATAAGTATTTATTTTAAAAATTACTCATTAGTCAAAAAATATTCAGTAACCTCAGGCTCATTACTGACTTGGTCTGGAAATGATAATTAATCACCTAAAATATGCTCTGTTTTATATTTTTATTACATAAAATGTTATATTTACTTTTTTATCTATAATACTGTGATTTAAATGATATACATCAAAATTCTGGAATGACATTGTTAAAGCTTATGTTGAAATGTGAAAAATTAAGACTATACAAATAATAAATATTGTATACCTACAAGTTTAGTATGCTACTTTAAAATTAGATCTATATGTTTTTGTGAACTTGAACCCTAGAAACTGGGTTAATTTCAAGTCAAGTAATTCTGTCATGAAAGAATGGAAAGCTAAGTTTATTATTAGTGTAGATAGTTCCTTTGAGTTCTGAAATAATTCGAATTATTCATTTACTCCAACTTTTTAAATAATTTCAATTGTTTTAGATTCAGGCTTGTTACATGTGCAGGTTTGTTATATGAGTATATTGTGTGATGCTTAGGTTTGGAGTACAATCGACCCTGTTGCCCAGGTAGTGAGGATAGTACCCAATAGTTACTTTTATAACCCCTGTGGCCTCCCTCTCTCCCTTCTCTAGTAGTCATCAGTGTCTACTGTTTCTATGTACATGTCCATGTGTACCCAATGTTTAGCTCCCACTTATAAGTGAAGACACGCAGTGTTTGGTTTTATGTTCCTGTATTAGTCACGTAGGATAGTGGTCTCTAGCTGTATCTATGTTCCTGCAAAGGCCATGATATCATTCTTTCATATGGCTGTGTGGTATTCCATGGTACTTATGTGCAACATTTTCTCAATCCAGTCCACCACTGATTGGCACCTCTATTTACCCAAATTTAAAATAAGCACTAATACGTCATTCTTAAAGAAAACTGTGAAGTTATTTAAGCCTGAAAAAGATGTTTAGAAAGAATATATTTTTCAGTTTGGTAACATAAGTGGTGTGGCTATTCAAATGTAGACATCAACAGACTCTAGAGCTGCTCTGATAGAAAGTTTCCACATGAAGTATGTCTGTGATGCACTAATTAAGTCATATCTATAAGTAATGACCCCCATATAATTATCTCCAGCCCAGATGAATACCATCAACTCCAAACTCTTCTCTCCAGCTTACCATTCAAACTCTTCTATCCAGCTTCCCATTTTATGTAGCCTTTTGATTTTCTGATAATATTTCAAATTTAAAATGGTTGAAGTTGAGCTGTTTTTGTAGCAACGCTGTTCTATTTCCAGTCTTCCACATCTCAGTAAATAGAAACATAATTCATGTAGATGATAGAAGCAAAAACTTAGGGTAGACTTCAGATTTCTTTTATTTTCCTTTTCTTTATTCTGCTCTATTAAATACTCAACAATTCAATGTCCAAAATATATCTACCTAAGATCCACCTAGTTCTCTCCATATCATTACCACCACTCTAGACCAAAGCAGAATTACTTCTAACCTGTGTTACTGCTATTGTCTTCTTAACTGATGTTTCTTCTTTCACTTGGGTTTCTTTGAAACCCATTCTTTAACCAAAAACAACAATGATTTTCAATCTAAGTTGGATCATTTCAATGCTTTAAAATGCTTCAGTGCACTCTAGTTTTCTGTAGCATAAATTCCAAACTGCTTTCCATGATCCATAAAAGTCACTGCCTTCTTGGTTCTTGTATACCATTTTCCCTCATGTGGTTCTCTAACCATTCATCCTATGTTTCCTATTTATTCACTGTTCTTCAGCCATATCATCTCCAGATTATCTATGTAAGTCATTTTGCTTCAATTTTTTAAACCCAGTTCTTGAATTGTTAACATCTATGTTGGGCAGCCTTTAAAATGGCTCACAATGATTTCTACCTCCTGGGATTCATGCTTTTGTTTAATCCCCCTTTTTGCCTGTGAGCTGGACCTAAGTGGTTCATTTCTATGAATGGAATCTGGAGAAATAAGTGATGTCACTTTCACAACCAGATTACAAATATATTGTGCTTCCAATGTACACACCCTCTCTTACTCTCTCAATTGCTTCCTCTGAGGGAGAGCAGTTATCATGTGGCACACTGCTTTATGCCCACACGATAAGAAACTAATATTTACAGAGAACACCCAGCAAGATTCTGATATCTCTCCAAATAGCTACACCTCAAGATTATAGTAATTCCTTCTCCCTTGCCACTTCAGGGGTAATGGTTGTGATGATTTTTGCTATTTCTGATGCCAGTGGTCCTTCCTTACTTCTTTTTAGTTCTTTCAAACTGCCACACCTTTATAAATGGTTCTATGTTGAACTTTGCTCATATTATTTAATTTGAGTGGGCAATGCATTTTCTGTTGGGACACAGATGCACATGGGAGAATAAGGGCAGACTCTCATCAATAAGTAATTAGCAATCTTGTTAGAGAGTCAACTCACAGAGAGAAAAATGACAAAAAGAAGAGAAAAAAAAATTTGAAAGATCA